>NC_000021.9:10887197-10975219 GCF_000001405.40 Homo sapiens | reverse complement strand
TTTGTCTAGTTTTTAGGTGAAGATATTTCTTATTTCCCCAGAGGCCTCAATGGGCTCTCAAATATTCCCTTTCATATTCTACTAAATGAGTGTATCGAAGCTGCTCAATCAAAAGACGGGTTTAACAGTGTGAGACGAAAATACACCTTCCTAGGAAGTTTCTCAGAATTCTTCTTTCTAGTTTTTTATGTGAAGATATTTCCTTTTCCACTATAGGCCTCAAAGCGTTCCAAATATCCACTTGCAGATACTACAAATAGAGCGTTTCAAAACTGCTCAATCAAAGGAAAGGTTCAACTCTGTGAGATGAATGCAGACATCAAAAAGAAGTTTCTCAGAATCCTTCTGCCTTGTTTTTATGTGAAGATATTTCCTTTTTCACCATAGGCCTCAAAGCACTGGTAATATCCATTTGCAGATACTACAAAAAGACTGTTCCCAAACTGCTCAATAAAAAGAAATTTTCAACTCTATGAGATAAAAGCAAATATCACAAAGAAGTTTCTCAGAAACTTTCTATCTAGTTTTTATGTGAACATATTTCTTATCACCCCATAGACCTCAATCGGCTCACAAGTATCCTTCTGCAGATTGTAAAAAAACTACTGTTTCCAAACCGCTCAATCACAGGAAAGGTTTAACTCTGTGAAATGAATGCATCCATCACAGAGAAGTTTCTCAGAATGCTTCCGTCTCGTTTTTATGTGAAGAAGATTCCTTTTCCACCCTATTCCTCATGCGCTCCAAATAAACACTTGCAGATTCCGCTAAAAGAGTGTTTCAAAACTGCTCAATCAAAAGAAAGGTTCTAGTCGGTGAGATGAATGCACACATCACAAAGAAGTTTCTATGAATGCTTCTGTCTGATTTATATTGAAGATATTTCCTTTTTCACCGTAGGCCTCAGAGTGCTTAAAATATCCATTTGCAGATACTAGAAAAGACTGTTTCCAAACTGCTCAATCAAAGTAAAGTTCAACTCAGTGAGATGAATGCACACATCACCAAGACGTTTCTGAGAAAGATTCTGTCTCGTTTTTATGTGAAGATATTTCCTGTTTCCCCAGAGGCATCAATGGGCTCACAAATATTCCTTTGCATATTCTACAAAATGACTGTTTAGAAGGTTCTCAATCAAAAAAAAAGTTCAACAGTGTGAGATGAATGCGCCCATTCAAAGGAAGTTTCTCAGAATTCTTCTATCTACTTTTTATGTGAAGATATTTCCTTTTTCACTGTAGGCCACAAAGTGCTCCAAATATCCACTTGCAGACTCTACAAAACGAGTGTATCCACACTGCTCAATCAAAAGAAAATTTCAACTGTGTGAGATGAATGCACACATCAAAATAAATTTCTCCAAAACTTCTGCCTACTTTTTATGGGAAGATATTTCGTTTTTCAACGTAGGCCAAAAGCACTCCAAATATCAATTTGCAGATTCTACAAAAAGACTGTTTCCAAACTGCTCAATCAAGAGAAAGTTTCAACCCGGTGAGTAGAAGTCACACATGACAAAATAGTTTCTCAGGAAGTATCTGTCTAGTTTTTATGTGAAGATATTTCCTATCACCCCAGAAGCCTCAATGGGCTCACAAATATTCCTTTGCAGATTCTACAAAACGACAGTTTCAAAACTGCTGAATCAAAAGAAAGGTTCAACTCTGTGAGATGAATGCACAGATCACAAATAAGTTTCTCAGAATGCTGCTGTCTAGTTTTTATGGGAAGATGTGTCTTTTTCCACCATAGGCCTGAAAGTGCCCCAAATATCCACTTATAGATTGTACAAAAAGACTGTTTCAAAACTGCTCAATCAAAAGAAAAGTTCAAATCTGTGAGATGAAAGCACACATCTGAAAGAAGTTTCTCAGAAAGTTTCTGACTAGTTTTTATGTGAAGATGTTTTCTTTTCCACCACAGGCCTCAAAGTGCTAAAAATATTCACTTGAAGATTCTACAAAAAGAGAGTTTCAAAACTGCTCAAACAAAAGAAAGGTTCAACTCTGTGACATTAATGCACACATCACAAAGAAGTTTCTCAGAATGCTTCTGTCTAGTTTTATGTAAAGATATTTCCTTTTCTACTATAGGCCACAAAGCACTCCAAATATCAACTTGCAGATTCTGCAGAAAGAGTTTTTCAAAGCTGCTCAATCAAAAGAAAAGTTCAACTCTTTGAGATGAATGCACACATCATGAAGTTCCTCAGAATGCTTCTATTTTTATGTGAAGATATATCCTTTTCTACCATAGACCACAAAACGCTCCAAATATCCCCTTGCAGTTTCTACTAAAAGAGTGTTTCCAAACTGCTCAATCAAAAGAAGTTTCAACTCTGTGAGATGAATGCACACATCATTAAGAAGTTTCTCAGTAATTTTCTGTCTAGTTTTTATGTGAAGATATTTCCTTTCCTACTATAGGCCTGAAAGTGCTGCAAATATCCGTTTGCAGATACTGCAAAAACACTGTTTCCACACTGCTCAATCAAAGGAAATGTCCAACTCTGTGAGTTGAATGCACGCATCTCAAAGAGATTACTTCTAATGATTCTGTCTAGTTTTGATGTGAAGATATTTGCTTTTCCACCAGTGGCCTCAAACTCTCCAAATATCCACTTGCAGATTCTACAATAAGAGTGTTTCAAAACTGCTCAATCAAAAGAAAGGTTCAACACTGTGAGATGAATGCACACGTCACAAAGCACTTTCTTAGAATGCTTCTGTCTAGCTTTTATGTGAAGATATTTCCTTTTTCACCATAGGCTGCAAAGCGCTCCAAATACCCCTTTCAGATTCTACAGAAAGAGTGTTTCAAAACTGTTCAATCAAAAGAGAAACTCAACTCTGGTGATGAATGCACGCATCACAAAGCAGTTTCTCATAATGTTTCTGTCTAGTTTTTATGTGAAGATATTTCATTCTCCACTATAGGCCGTAATGCACTCCTAATATCCACTTGCAGATTCTACAAAAAGACTGTTTGCAAACTGCTCAAACAAAAGAAAAGTTCAACTCTGTGAGTTGAATGAGCACATCACAAAGAAGTTTCTCAGAATGCTTCTGTCTAGTTTTTATGTGAATATATTTCCTTTTCCACTATAGGCCGTAATGCGCTCCAAATATCCACTTGCAGTTTCTACAAAAAGACTGTTTCCAAACTGCGCAATCAAAAGAAAAGCTCAACTCTGTGAGTTGAATGAGCACATCAGAAAGAAGTTTCTCAGAATGCTTCTATCTAGTTTTTATGTGAATATATTTCCTTTTCCACCACAGGCCACAAACCCTCCAAATATCCACTTGAAGATTCTACAAAAAGAGTGCTTCAAAAATGCTCAATCAAAAGAAAGGTTCAACTCTTCGATATGGACGCACACATCACAAAGAAGCTTCTCAGAATGTTTCTGTCTAGTTTTTTTGTGAAGATATTTCCTTTTCCACCGTAGTCCTCAAGTCTCTCCAAATATCTACTTTCAGAATCTCCAAAAAGAGTGTTTTAAAACTGCTGTACCAAAGAAAGTTTCATGTCTGAGTTATGACTGCATACAACACAGAGAAGTTTCTCAAAGTGCTTCTGTTTATTTTTTTTATGAAGATATTTCCTTTTCCACTATGGGCCACAGAGCGCTCCAAATATCCACTGGCAGATTCTACAAAAAGAGTGTTTCAAAACTGCTCAATCAATAGAAAGTTTGAAGTCTGTGAGATGAGTGCACACATCACAAAGGAGTTTCTAAGAATGCTTCCATCTGAATTTTATGTGAGGATATTTCCTTTTTCACCATAGGCCTCAATACACTCCAAATATCCATTTACAGATAATACAAATGACTGTATCCAAACTGCTCAATCAAAAGAAAGTTCAACTGTGCATGATGAATGCACACATCACAAGGGTGTTTCTCAGAAAGATTTTGTCTAGTTTTTAGGTGAAGATATTTCTTATTTCCCCAGAGGCCTCAATGGGCTCTCAAATATTCCTTTTCATAATCTACTAAATGACTGTATCGAAGCTGCTCAATCAAAAGACGGGTTTAACAGTGTGAGACAAAAATACACCTTCCTAGGAAGTTTCTCAGAATTCTTCTTTCTAGTTTTTTATGTGAAGATATTTCCTTTTCCACTATAGGCCTCAAAGCGTTCCAAATATCCACTTGCAGATACTACAAATAGAGCGTTTCAAAACTGCTCAATCAAAAGAAAGTTTCAACACTGCGAGATGAATGCAGACATCAAAAAGAAGCTTCTCAGAATGCTTCTGCCTTGTTTTTATGTGAAGATATTTCCTTTTTCACCATAGGCCTCAAAGCACTGGTAATATCCATTTGCAGATACTACAAAAAGACTGTCCCCAAACTGCTCAATAAAAAGAAAGTTTCAACTCTAGGAGATAAAAGCAAATATCACAAAGAAGTTTCTCAGAAACTTTCTATCTAGTTTTTATGTGAACATATTTCTTATCACCCCATAGACCTCAATCGGCTCACAAGTATCCTTCTGCAGATTGTAAAAAACTACTGTTTCCAAACCGGTCAATCACAGGAAAGGTTTAACTCTGGGAAATGAATGCATCCATCACAGAGAAGTTTCTCAGAATGCTTCCGTCTCGTTTTTATGTGAAGAAGATTCCTTTTCCACCATATTCTTCATGCGCTACAAAGAAACACTTGCAGATTCCGCTAAAAGAGTGTTTCAAAACTGCTCAATCAAAAGAAAGGTTCTAGTCGGTGAGATGAATGCACACATCACAAAGAAGTTTCTATGAATGCTTCTGTCTGATTTATATTGAAGATATTTCCTTTTTCACCGTAGGCCTCAGAGCGCTTAAAATATCCATTTGCAGATACTAGAAAAAGACTGTTTCCAAACTGCTCAATCAAAATAAAGTTCAACTCAGTGAGATGAATGCACATATCACAAAGAAGTTTCTGAGAAAGATTCTGTCTCGTTTTTATGTGAAGATATTTCCTGTTTCCCCAGAGGCATCAATGGGCTCACAAATATTCCTTTGCATATTCTACAAAATGACTGTTTAGAAGGTGCCCAATCAAAAAAAAAGTTCAACAGTGTGAGATGAATGCGCCCATTCAAAGGAAGTTTCTCAGAATTCTTCTATCTAGTTTTTATGTGAAGATATTTCCTTTTTCACTATAGGCCACAAAGTGCTCCAAATATCCACTTGCAGACTCTACGAAACGAGTGTATCCACACTGCTCAAACAAAAGAAAATTTCAACTGTTTGAGATGAATGCACACATCAAAATAAATTTCTCCAAAACTTCTGCCTACTCTTTATGGGAAGATATTTCGTTTTTCAACGTAGGCCAAAAGCACTCCAAATATCAATTTGCAGATTCTACAAAAAGACTGTTTCCAAACTGCTCAATCAAGAGAAAGTTTCAACCCGGTGAGTAGAAGTCACACATGACAAAATAGTTTCCCAGAAAGTATCTGTCTAGTTTTAATGTGAAGATATTTCCTATCACCCCAGAAGCCTCAATGGGCTCACAAATATTCCTTTGCAGATTCTACAAAACGACAGTTTCAAAACTGCTGAATCAAAAGAAAGGTTCAATTCTGTGAGATGAATGCACAGATCACAAATAAGTTTCTCAGAATGCTGCTGTCTAGTTTTTATGGGAAGAGATTTCCTTTTCCACCATAGGCCTCAAAGCTCTCCAAATAGCCATTTGCAGATACTGTAAAAAGACTGTTTCCAAACTGCTGAATCAAAAGAAAGGTTGAACTCCATGAGTTGAATGCACACGTCACAAAGAAGTTTCTCAGAATACTTCTGACTAGTTTTTATGTGAAGATATTTTCTTTTCCACCATAGGCCTCAAAGCGCTGAAAATATCCACTTGAAGATTCTACAAAAAGAGAGTTTCAAAACTGCTCAAACAAAAGAAAGATTCAACTCTGTGAGATGAATGCACACATCACAAAGAAGTTTCTCAGAATGCTTCTGTCTAGTTTTATGTAAAGATATTTCCTTTTCTACTATAGGCCACAAAGCACTCCAAATATCAACTTGCAGATTCTGCAGAAAGAGATTTTCAAAGCTGCTCAATCAAAAGAAAAGTTCAACTCTTTGAGATGAATGCACACATCATGAAGTTCCTCAGAATGCTTCTATTTTTATGTGAAGATATATCCTTTTCTACCATAGACCACAAAACGCTCCAAATATCCCCTTGCAGTTTCTACTAAAAGAGTGTTTCCAAACGGCTCAATCAAAAGAAAGTTTCAACTCTGTGAGATGAATGCACACAACATTAAGTAGTGTCTCAGTAATTTTTCTGTATGGTTTTTATGTGAAGATATTTCCTTTCCTACTATAGGCCTGAAAGTGCTCCAAATATCCGTTTGCAGATACTGCATAAAGACTGTTTCCAAACTGCTCAATCAAAGGAAATGTCCAACTCTGTGAGTTGAATGCACGCATCTCAAAGAGATTACTTATAATGATCCTGTCTAGTTTTGATGTGAAGATATTTGCTTTTCCACCAGTGGCCTCAAACTCTCCAAATATCCACTTGCAGATTCTACAATAAGAGTGTTTCAAAACTGCTCAATCGAAAGAAAGGTTCAACACTGTCAGATGAATGCACACGTCACAAAGCACTTTCTTAGAATGCTTCTGTCTAGCTTTTATGTGAAGATATTTCCTTTTTCACCATAGGCTGCAAAGCGCTCCAAATATCCCTTTCAGATTCTACAGAAAGAGTGTTTCAAAACTGTTCAATCAAAAGAGAAACTCAACTCTGGTGATGAATGCACGCATCACAAAGCGGTTTCTCATAATGTTTCTGTCTAGTTTTTATGTGAAGATATTTCATTTTCCACTATAGGCCGTAATGCACTCCTAATATCCACTTGCAGATTCTACAGAAAGACTGTTTGCAAACTGCTCAAACAAAAGAAAAGTTCAACTCTGTGAGTTGAATGAGCACATCACAAAGAAGTTTCTCAGAATGCTTCTCTGTCTAGTTTTTATGTGAATATATTTCCTTTTCCACTATAGGCCGTCATGCGCTCCAAATATCCACTTGCAGATTCTACAAAAAGACTGTTTCCAAACTGCTCAATCAAAAGAAAAGCTCAACTCTGTGAGGTGAATGAGCACATCCCAAAGAAGTTCCTCAGAATGCTTCTATCTAGTTTTTATGTGAATATATTTGCTTTTCCACCACAGGCCACAAACCCTCCAAATATCCACTTGAAGATTCTACAAAAAGAGTGCCTCAAAAATGCGCAATCAAAAGAAAGGTTCAACTCTTCGAGATGGACGCACACATCACAAAGAAGCTTCTCAGAATGTTTCTGTCTAGTTTTTTTGTGAAGATATTTCCTTTTCCACCGTAGTCCTCAAGTCTCTCCAAATATCTACTTTCAGAATCTCCAAAAAGAGTGTTTTAAAACTGCTGTACCAAAGAAATTTTCATGTCTGAGATATGACTGCATACAACACAGAGAAGTTTCTCAAAGTGCTTCTGTTTATTTTTTTTATGAAGATATTTCCGTTTCCACTATGGGCCACAGAGCGCTCCAAATATCCACTGGCAGATTCTACAAAAAGAGTGTTTCAAAACTGCTCAATCAATAGAAAGTTTGAAGTCTGTGAGATGAGTGCACACATCACAAAGGAGTTTCTAAGAATGCTTCCATCTGAATTTTATGTGAGGATATTTCCTTTTTCACCATAGGCCTCAGTACACTCCAAATATCCATTTACAGATAATACAAATGACTGTATCCAAACTGCTCAATCAAAAGAAATTTCAACTCTGTATGATGAATGCACACATCACAAGGGTGTTTCTCAGAAAGATTTTGTCTAGTTTTTAGGTGAAGATATTTCTTATTTCCCCAGAGGCCTCAATGGGCTCTCAAATATTCCCTTTCATATTCTACTAAATGACTGTATCGAAGCTGCTCAATCAAAAGACGGGTTTAACAGTGTGAGACGAAAATACACCTTCCTAGGAAGTTTCTCAGAATTCTTCTTTCTAGTTTTTTATGTGAAGATATTTCCTTTTCCACTATAGGCCTCAAAGCGTTCCAAATATCCACTTGCAGATACTACAAAGAGAGTGTTTCAAAACTGCTCAATCAAAAGAAAGGTTCAACTTTGTGAGATGAATGCAGACATCACAAAGAAGTTTCTCAGAATCCTTCCGCCTTGTTTTTATGTGAAGATATTTCCTTTTTCACCATAGGCCTCAAAGCACTGGTAATATCCATTTGCAGATACTACAAAAAGACTGTTCCCAAACTGCTCAATAAAAAGAAATTTTCAACTCTAGGAGATAAAAGCTAATATCACAAAGAAGTTTCTCAGAAACTTTCTATCTAGTTTTTATGTGAACATATTTCTTATCACCCCATAGACCTCAATCGGCTCACAAGTATCCTTCTGCAGATTGTAAAAAACTACTGTTTCCAAACCGCTCAATCACAGGAAAGGTTTAACTCTGTGAAATGAATGCATCCATCACAGAGAAGTTTCTCAGAATGCTTCCGTCTCGTTTTTATGTGAAGAAGATTCCTTTTCCACCATATTCCTCATGCGCTCCAAATAAACACTTGCAGATTCCGCTAAAAGAGTGTTTCAAAACTGCTCAATGAAAAGAAAGGTTCTAGTCGGTGAGATGAATGCACACATCACAAAGAAGTTTCTATGAATGCTTCTGTCTGATTTATATTGAAGATATTTCCTTTTTCACCGTAGGCCTCAGAGTGCTTAAAATATCCATTTGCAGATACTAGAAAAGACTGTTTCCAAACTGCTCAATCAAAGTAAAGTTCAACTCAGTGAGATCAATGCACACATCACCAAGACGTTTCTGAGAAAGATTCTGTCTCGTTTTTATGTGAAGATATTTCCTGTTTCCCCAGAAGGCATCAATGGGCTCACAAATATTCCTTTGCATATTCTACAAAATGACTGTTTAGAAGGTGCTCAATCAAAAAAAAAGTTCAACAGTGTGAGATGAATGCGCCCATTCAAAGGAAGTTTCTCAGAATTCTTCTATCTAGTTTTTATGTGAAGATATTTCCTTTTTCACTATAGGCCACAAAGTGCTCCAAATATCCACTTGCAGACTCTACAAAACGAGTGTATCCACACTGCTCAATCAAAAGAAAATTTCAACTGTGTGAGATGAATGCACACATCAAAATAACTTTCTCCAAAACTTCTGCCTACTTTTTATGGGAAGATATTTCGTTTTTCAACGTAGGCCAAAAGCACTCCAAATATCAATTTGCAGATTCTACAAAAAGACTGTTTCCAAACTGCTCAATCAACAGAAAGTTTCAACCCGGTGAGTAGAAGACACACATGACAAAATAGTTTCTCAGAAAGTATCTGTCTAGTTTTTACGTGAAGATATTTCCTATCACCCCAGAAGCCTCAATGGGCTCACAAATATTCCTTTGCAGATTCTACAAAACGACAGTTTCAAAACTGCTGAATCAAAAGAAAGGTTCAACTCTGGGAGATGAATGCACAGATCACAAATAAGTTTCTCAGAATGCTGCTGTCTAGTTTTTATGGGAAGATAATTCCTTTTCCACCATAGGCCTCAAAGCTCTCCAAATAGCCATTTGCAGATACTGTAAAAAGACTGTTTCCAAACTGCTGAATCAAAAGAAAGGTTGAACTCCATGAGTTGAATGCACACGTCACAAAGAAGTTTCTCAGAATGGTTCTGACTAGTTTTTATGTGAAGATATTTTCTTTTCCACCATAGGCCTCAAAGCGCTGAAAATATCCACTTGAAGATTCTACAGAAAGAGAGTTTCAAAACTGCTCAAACAAAAGAAAGATTCAACTCCGTGAGATGAATGCACACATCACAAAGAAGTTTCTCAGAATGCTTCTGTCTAGTTTTATGTAAAGATATTTCCTTTTCTACTATAGGCCACAAAGCACTCCAAATATCAACTTGCAGATTCTGCAGAAAGAGTTTTTCAAAGCTGCTCAATCAAAAGAAAAGTTCAACTCTTTGAGATGAATGTACACATCAGGAAGTTCCTCAGAATGCTTCTATTTTTATGTGAAGATAACCTTTTCTACCATAGACCACAAAACGCTCCAAATATCCCCTTGCAGTTTCTACTAAAAGAGTGTTTCCAAACTGCTCAATCAAAGGAAAGTTTCAACTCTGTGAGATGAATGCACACATCATTAAGAAGTTTCTCAGTAATTTTCTGTATGGTTTTTATGTGAAGATATTTCCTTTCCTACTATAGGCCTGAAAGTGCTCCAAATATCCGTTTGCAGATACTGCATAAAGACTGTTTCCAAACTGCTCAATCAAAGGAAATGTCCAACTCTGTGAGTTGAATGCACGGCATCTCAAAGAGATTACTTATAATGATCCTGTCTAGTTTTGATGTGAAGATATTTGCTTTTCCACCAGTGGCCTCAAACTCTCCAAATATCCAGTTGCAGATTCTACAATAAGAGTGTTTCAAATCTGCTCAATCAAAAGAAAGGTTCAACACTGTCAGATGAATGCACACGTCACAAAGCACTTTCTTAGAATGCTCTGTCTAGCTTTTATGTGAAGATATTTCCTTTTTCACCATAGGCTGCAAAGCGCTCCAAATATCCCTTTCAGATTCTACAGAAAGAGTGTTTCAAAACTGTTCAATCAAAAGAGAAATTCAACTCTGGTAATGAATGCACGCATCACAAAGCAGTTTCTCATAATGTTTCTGTCTAGTTTTTATGTGAAGATATTTCATTTTCCACTATAGGCCGTAATGCACTCCTAATATCCACTTGCAGATTCTACAGAAAGACTGTTTGCAAACTGCTCAAACAAAAGAAAAGTTCAACTCTGTGAGTTGAATGAGCACATCACAAAGAAGTTTCTCAGAATGCTTCTGTCTAGTTTTTATGTGAATATATTTCCTTTTCCACTATAGGCCGTAATGCGCTCCAAATATCCACCTGGAGATTCTACAAAAAGACTGTTTCCAAACTGCTCAATCAAAAGAAAAGCTCAACTCTGTGAGTGGAATGAGCACATCACAAAGAAGTTTCTCAGAATGCTTCTATCTAGTTTTTATGTGAATATATTTCCTTTTCCACCACAGGCCACAAACACTCCAAATATCCACTTGAAGTTTCTACAAAAAGAGTGCTTCAAAAATGCTCAATCAAAAGAAAGGTTCAACTCTTTGAGATGGATGCACACATCACAAAGAAGCTTTCTCAGAATGTTTCTGTCTAGTTTTTTTGTGAAGATATTTCCTTTTCCACCGTAGTCCTCAAGTCTCTCCAAATATCTACTTTCAGAATCTCCAAAAAGAGTGTTTTAAAACTGCTGTACCAAAGAAAGTTTCATGTCTGAGATATGACTGCATACAACACAGAGAAGTTTCTCAAAGTGCTTCTGTTTATTTTTTTTATGAAGATAATTCCTTTTCCACTATGGGCCACAGAGCGCTCCAAATATCGACTTGCAGATTCTACAAAAAGAGTGTTTCAAAACTGCTCAATCAATAGAAAGTTTGAAGTCTGTGAGATGAATGCACACACCACAAAGGAGTTTCTAAGAATGCTTCCATCTGAATTTTATGTGAGGATATTTCCTTTTTCACCATAGGCCTCAATACACTCCAAATATCCATTTACAGATAATACAAATGACTGTATCCAAACTGCTCAATCAAAAGAAAGTTCAACTGTGTATGATGAATGCACACATCACAAGGGTGTTTCTCAGAAAGTTTTTGTCTAGTTTTTAGGTGAAGATATTTCTTATTTCCCCAGAGGCCTCAATGGGCTCTCAAATATTCCCTTTCATATTCTACTAAATGACTGTATCGAAGCTGCTCAATCAAAAGAGGGGTTTAACAGTGTGAGACGAAAATACACCTTCCTAGGAAGTTTCTCAGAATTCTTCTTTCTAGTTTTTTATGTGAAGATATTTCCTTTTCCACTATAGGCCTCAAAGCGTTCCAAATATCCACTTGCAGATACTACAAATAGAGCGTTTCAAAACTGCTCAATCAAAGGAAAGGTTCAACTCTGTGAGATGAATGCAGACATCAAAAAGAAGTTTCTCAGAATGCTTCTGCCTTGTTTTTATGTGAAGATATTTCCTTTTTCACCATAGGCCTCAAAGCACTGGTAATATCCATTTGCAGATACTACAAAAAGACTGTTCCCAAACTGCTCAATAAAAAGAAAGTTTCAACTCTATGAGATAAAAGCAAATATCACAAAGAAGTTTCTCAGAAACTTTCTATCTAGTTTTTATGTGAACATATTTCTTATCACCCCATAGACCTCAATCGGCTCACAAGTATCCTTCTGCAGATTATGAAAAACTACTGTTTCCAAACCGCTCAATCACAGGAAAGGTTTAACTCTGTGAAATGAATGCATCCATCACAGAGAAGTTTCTCAGAATGCTTCCGTCTCGTTTCCATGTGAAGAATATTCCTTTTCCACCATATTCCTCATGCGCTCCAAATAAACACTTGCAGATTCCGCTAAAAGAGTGTTTCAAAACTGCTCAATCAAAAGAAAGGTTCTAGTCGGTGAGATGAATGCACACATCACAAAGCAGTTTCTATGAATGCTTCTGTCTGATTTATATTGAAGATATTTCCTTTTTCACCGTAGGCCTCAGAATGCTTAAAATATCCATTTGCAGATACTAGAAAAGACTGTTTCCAAACTGCTCAATCAAAGTAAAGTTCAACTCAGTGAGATGAATGCACACATCACCAAGACGTTTCTGAGAAAGATTCTGTCTCGTTTTTATGTGAAGATATTTCCTGTTTCCCCAGAGGCATCAATGGGCTCACAAATATTCCTTTGCATATTCTACAAAATGACTGTTTAGAAGGTGCTCAATCAAAAAAAAAGTTCAACAGTGTGAGATGAATGCGCCCATTCAAAGGAAGTTTCTCAGAATTCTTCTATCTAGTTTTTATGTGAAGATATTTCCTTTTTCACTATAGGCCACAAAGTGCTCCAAATATCCACTTGCAGACTCTACAAAACGAGTGTATCCACACTGCTCAATCAAAAGAAAATTTCAACTGTGTGAGATGAGTGCACACATCAAAATAAATTTCTCCAAAACTTCTGCCTACTTTTTATGGGAAGATATTTCGTTTTTCAACGTAGGCCAAAAGCACTCCAAATATCAATTTGCAGATTCTACAAAAAGACTGTTTCCAAACTGCTCAATCAAGAGAAAGTTTCAACCCGGTGAGTAGAAGTCACACATGACAAAATAGTTTCTCAGAAAGTAGCTGTCTAGTTTTTATGGGAAGAGATTTCCTTTTCCACCATAGGCCTCAAAGCTCTCCAAATAGCCATTTGCAGATACTGTAAAAAGACTGTTTCCAAACTGCTGAATCAAAAGAAAGGTTGAACTCCATGAGTTGAATGCACACGTCACAAAGAAGTTTCTCAGAATGCTTCTGACTAGTTTTTATGTGAAGATGTTTTCTTTTCCACCATAGGCCCCAAAGTGCTAAAAATATCCACTTGAAGATTCTACAAAAAGAGGGTTTCAAAACTGCTCAAACAAAAGAAAGGTTCAACTCTGTGACATGAATGCACACGTCACAAAGACGTTTCTCAGAATGCTTCTGTCTAGTTTTATGTAAAGATATTTCCTTTTCTACTATAGGCCACAAAGCATTCCAAATATCAACTTGCAGATTCTGCAGAAAGAGTTTTTCAAAGCTGCTCAGTCAAAAGACAAGTTCAACTCTTTGAGATGAATGCACACATCATGAAGTTCCTCAGAATGCTTCTATTTTTATGTGAAGATATATCCTTTTCTACCATAGACCACAAAACGCTCCAAATATCCCCTTGCAGTTTCTACGAAAAGAGTGTTTCCAAACGGCTCAATCAAAAGAAAGTTTCAACTCTGTGAGATGAATGCACACATCATTAAGAAGTTTCTCAGTAATTTTCTGTCTAGTTTTTATGTGAAGATATTTCCTTTCCTACTATAGGCCTGAAAGTGCTGCAAATATCCGTTTGCAGATACTGCAAAAAGACTGTTTCCACACTGCTCAATCAAAGGAAATGTCCAACTCTGTGAGTTGAATGCACGCATCTCAAAGAGATTACTTATAATGATCCTGTCTAGTTTTGATGTGAAGATATTTGCTTTTCCACCAGTGGCCTCAAACTCTCCAAATATCCAGTTGCAGATTCTACAATAAGAGTGTTTCAAAACTGCTCAATCAAAAGAAAGGTTCAACACTGTGAGATGAATGCACACGTCACAAAGCACTTTCTTAGAATGCTTCTGTCTAGCTTTTATGTGAAGATATTTCCTTTTTCACCATAGGCTGCAAAGCGCTCCAAATATCCCTTTCAGATTCTACAGAAAGAGTATTTCAAAACTGTTCAATCAAAAGAGAAACTCAACTCTGGTGATGAATGCACGCATCACAAAGCAGTTTCTCATAATGTTTCTGTCTAGTTTTTATGTGAAGATATTTCATTCTCCACTATAGGCTGTAATGCACTCCTAATATCCACTTGCAGATTCTACAAAAAGACTGTTTGCAAACTGCTCAAACAAAAGAAAAGTTCAACTCTGTGAGTTGAATGAGCACATCACAAAGAAGTTTCTCAGAATGCTTCTGTCTAGATTTTATGTGAATATATTTCCTTTTCCACTATAGGCCGTAATGCGCTCCAAATATCCACCTGCAGATTCTACAAAAAGACTGTTTCCAAACTGCTCAATCAAAAGAAAAGCTCAACTCTGTGAGTTGAATGAGCACATCACAAAGAAGTTTCTCAGAATGCTTCTATCTAGTTTTTATGTGAATATATTTCCTTTTCCACCACAGGCCACAAACACTCCAAATATCCACTTGAAGATTCTACAAAAAGAGTGCTTCAAAAATGCTCAATCAAAAGAAAGTTTCAACTCTTTGAGATGGATGCACACATCACAAAGAAGCTTCTCAGAATGTTTCTGTCTAGTTTTTCTGTGAAGATATTTCCTTTTCCACCGTAGTCCTCAAGTCTCTCCAAATATCTACTTTCAGAATCTCCAAAAAGAGTGTTTTAAAACTGCTGTACCAAAGAAATTTTCATGTCTGAGATATGACTGCATACAACACAGAGAAGTTTCTCAAAGTGCTTCTGTTTATTTTTTTTATGAAGATATTTCCTTTTCCACTATGGGCCACAGAGCGCTCCAAATATCCACTGGCAGATTCTACAAAAAGAGTGTTTCAAAACTGCTCAGTCAATAGAAAGTTTGAAGTCTGTGAGATGAATGCACACATCACATAGGAGTTTCTAAGAATGCTTCCATCTGAATTTTATGTGAGGATATTTCCTTTTTCACCATAGGCCTCAGTACACTCCAAATATCCATTTACAGATAATAGAAATGACTGTATCCAAACTGCTCAATCAAAAGAAAGTTCAACTGTGTATGATGAATGCACACATCACAAGGGTGTTTCTCAGAAAGTTTTTGTCTTGTTTTTAGGTGAAGATATTTCTTATTTCCCCAGAGGCCTCAATGGGCTCTCAAATATTCCCTTTCATATTCTACTAAATGACTGTATCGAAGCTGCTCAATCAAAAGACGGGTTTAACAGTGTGAGACGAAAATACACCTTCCTAGGAAGTTTCTCAGAATTCTTCTTTCTAGTTTTTTATGTGAAGATATTTCCTTTTCCACTATAGGCCTCAAAGCGTTCCAAATATCCACTTGCAGATACTACAAATAGAGCGTTTCAAAACTGCTCAATCAAAAGAAAGGTTCAACTCTGTGAGATGAATGCAGACATCAAAAAAACTTTCTCAGAATGCTTCCGCCTTGTTTTTATGTGAAGATATTTCCTTTTTCACCATAGGCCTCAAAGCACTGGTAATATCCATTTGCAGATATTACAAAAAGACTGTTCCCAAACTGCTCAATAAAAAGAAAGTTTCAACTCTAGGAGATAAAAGCAAATATCACAAAGAAGTTTCTCAGAAACTTTCTATCTAGTTTTTATGTGAACATATTTCTTATCACCCCATAGACCTCAATCGGCTCACAAGTATCCTTCTGCAGATTATAAAAATCTACTGTTTCCAAACCGCTCAATCACAGGAAAGGTTTAACTCTGTGAAATGAATGCATCCATCACAGAGAAGTTTCTCAGAATGCTTCCGTCTCGTTTTTATGTGAAGAAGATTCCTTTTCCACCATATTCCTCATGCGCTCCAAAGAAACACTTGCAGATTCCGCTAAAAGAGTGTTTCAAAACTGCTCAATCAAAAGACAGGTTCTAGTCGGTGAGATGAATGCACACATCACAAAGACGTTTCTATGAATGCTTCTGTCTGATTTATATTGAAGATATTTCCTTTTTCACCGTAGGCCTCAGAGTGCTTAAAATATCCATTTGCAGATACTAGAAAAGACTGTTTCCAAACTGCTCAATCAAATTAAAGTTCAACTCAGTGAGATGAATGCACACATCACCAAGACGTTTCTGAGAAAGATTCTGTCTCGTTTTTATGTGAAGATATTTCCTGTTTCCCCAGAGGCATCAATGGGCTCACAAATATTCCTTTGCAGATTCTACAAAATGACTCTTTAGAAGGTGCTCAATCAAAAAAAAAGTTCAACAGTGTGAGATGAATGCGCCCATTCAAAGGAAGTTTCTCAGAATTCTTCTATCTAGTTTTTATGTGAAGATATTTCCTTTTTCACTATAGGCCACAAAGTGCTCCAAATATCCACTTGCAGACTCTACGAAACGAGTGTATCCACACTGCTCAATCAAAAGAAAATTTCAACTGTGTGAGATGAATGCACACATCAAAATAAATTTCTCCAAAACTTCTGCCTACTTTTTATGGGAAGATATTTAGTTTTTCAACGTAGGCCAAAAGCACTCCAAATATCAATTTGCAGATTCTACAAAAAGACTGTTTCCAAACTGCTCAATCAACAGAAAGTTTCAACCCGGTGAGTAGAAGTCACACATGACAAAATAGTTTCTCAGAAAGTATCTGCCTACTTTTTATGGGAAGATATTTCGTTTTTCAACGTAGGTCAAAAGCACTCCAAATATCAATTTGCAGATTCTACAAAACGACAGTTTCAAAACTGCTGAATCAAAAGAAAGGTTCAACTCTGTGAGATGAATGCACAGATCACAAATAAGTTTCTCAGAATGCTGCTGTCTAGTTTTTATGGGAAGATATTTCCTTTTCCACCATAGGCCTCAAAGCTCTCCAAATAGCCATTTGCAGATACTGTAAAAAGACTGTTTCCAAACTGCTGAATCAAAAGAAAGGTTGAACTCCATGAGTTGAATGCACACGTCACAAAAATTTCCCAGAATGCTTCTGACTAGTTTTTATGTGAAGATATTTTCTTTTCCACCATAGGCCTCAAAGCGCTGAAAATATCCACTTGAAGATTCTACAGAAAGAGAGTTTCAAAACTGCTCAAACAAAAGAAAGATTCAACTCTGTGAGATGAATGCACACATCACAAAGAAGTTTCTCAGAATGCTTCTGTCTAGTTTTATGTGAATATATTTCCTTTTCCACTGTAGGCCTCAAAGCACTCCAAATATCAACGTGCAGATTCTGCAGAAAGAGTTTTTCAAGCTCTCAATCAAAAGAAAAGTTCAACTCTGTGAGACGAATGCACACATCATTAAGAAGTTCCTCAGAATGCTTCTGTCTATTTTTTATGTGAAGATATATCCTTTTCTACCAAAGACCGCAAAGTGCTCCAAATATCCCCTTGCAGTTTCTACTAAAAGAGTGTTTCCAAACTGCTCAATCAAAAGAAAGTTTCAACTCTGTGAGATGAATGCACACATCACTAACAAGTTTCTCAGTAATTTTCTGTATGGTTTTTATGTGAAGATATTTCCTTTCCTACTATAGGCCTGAAAGTGCTCCAAATATCCGTTTGCAGATACTGCAAAAAGACTGTTTCCAAACTGCTCAATCAAAGGAAATGTCCAACTCTGTGAGTTGAATGCACGCATCTCAAAGAGATTACTTATAATGATTCTGACTAGTTTTGATGTGAAGATATTTGCTTTTCCACCAGTGGCCTCAAACTCTCCAAATATCCACTTGCAGATTCTACAATAAGAGTGTTTCAAAACTGCTCAATCAAAAGAAAGGTTCAACACTGTGAGATGAATGCACACGTCACAAAGCACTTTCTTAAAATGCTTCTGTCTAGCTTTTATGTGAAGATATTTCCTTTTTCACCATAGGCTGCAAAGCGCTCCAAATATCCCTTTCAGATTCTACAGAAAGAGTGTTTCAAAACTGTTCAATCAAAAGAGAAACTCAACTCTGGTGATGAATGCACGCATCACAAAGCAGTTTCTCATAATGTTTCTGTCTAGTTTTTATGTGAAGTTATTTCATTTTCCACTATAGGCCGTAATGCACTCCTAATATCCACTTGCAGATTCTACAGAAAGACTGTTTGCAAACTGCTCAAACAAAAGAAAAGTTCAACTCTGTGAGTTGAATGAGCACATCACAAAGAAGTTTCTCAGAATGTTTCTGTCTAGTTTTTATGTGAATATATTTCCTTTTCCACTATAGGCCGTAATGTGCTCCAAATATCCACCTGCAGATTCTACAAAAAGACTGTTTCCAAAGTGCTCAATCAAAAGAAAAGTTCAACTCTGTGAGATGAATGAGCACATCACAAAGAAGCTTCTCAGAATGTTTCTATCTAGTTTTTATGTGAATATATTTCCTTTTCCACCACAGGCCACAAACACTCCAAATATCCACTTGAAGTTTCTACAAAAAGAGTGCTTCAAAAATGCTCAATCAAAAGAAAGGTTCAACTCTTTGAGATGGATGCACACATCACAAAGAAGCTTCTCAGAATGTTTCTGTCTAGTTTTTTTGTGAAGATATTTCCTTTTCCACCGTAGTCCTCAAGTCTCTCCAAATATCTACTTTCAGAATCTCCAAAAAGAGTGTTTTAAAACTGCGGTACCAAAGAAAGTTTCATGTCTGAAATATGACTGCATACAACACAGAGAAGTTTCTCAAAGTGCTTCTGTTTATTTTTCTTATGAAGATATTTCCTTTTCCACTATGGGCCACAGAGCGCTCCAAATATCCACTGGCAGATTCTACAAAAAGAGTGTTTCAAAACTGCTCAATCAATAGAAAGTTTGAAGTCTGTGAGATGAATGTACACATCACAAAGGAGTTTCTAAGAATGCTTCCATCTGAATTTTATGTGAGGATATTTCCTTTTTCACCATAGGCCTCAGTACACTCCAAATATCCATTTACAGATAATACAAATGACTGTATCCAAACTGCTCAATCAAAAGAACGTTCCACTGTGTATGATGAATGCACACATCACAAGGGTGTTTCTCAGAAAGTTTTTGTCTAGTTTTTAGGTGAAGATATTTCTTATTTCCCCAGAGGCCTCAATGGGCTCTCAAATATTCCCTTTCATATTCTACTAAATGGCTGTATCGAAGCTGCTCAATCAAAAGACGGGTTTAACAGTGTGAGACGAAAATACACCTTCCTAGGAAGTTTCTCAGAATTCTTCTTTCTAGGTTTTTATGTGAAGATATTTCGTTTTCCACTATAGGCCTCAAAGCGTTCCAAATATCCACTTGCAGATCCTACAAATAGAGCCTTTCAAAACTGCTCAATCAAAAGAAAGGTTCAACTCTGTGAGATGAATGCAGACATCAAAAAGAAGTTTCTCAGAATGCTTCCGCCTTGTTTTTATGTGAAGATATTTCCTTTTTCACCATAGGCCTCAAAGCACTGGTAATATCCATTTGCAGATACTACAAAAAGACTGTTCCCAAACTGCTCAATAAAAAGAAATTTTCAACTCTATGAGATAAAAGCTAATATCACAAAGAAGTTTCTCAGAAACTTTCTATCTGGTTTTTATGTGAACATATTTCCTATCGCCCCATAGGCCTCAATCGGCTCACAAATATCCTTCTGCAGCTTATACAAAACGACTGTTTCCAAACCATTCAATCACAGGAAGGGTTCAACTCTGTGAAATGAATGCACCCATCACAGAAAAATTTCTCAGAATGCTTCCGTCTCGTTTTTATGTGAAGAAGATTCCTTTTCCACCATATTCCTCATGTGCTCCAAATAAACACTTGCAGATTCCGCTAAAAGAGTGTTTCAAAACTGCTCAATCAAAAGAAAGGTTCTAGTCGGTGAGATGAATGCACACATCACAAAGAAGTTTCTATGAATGCTTCTGTCTGATTTATATTGAAGATATTTCCTTTTTCACCGTAGGCCTCAGAGTGCTTAAAATATCCATTTGCAGATACTAGAAAAGACTGTTTCCAAACTGCTCAATCAAAATAAAGTTCAACTCAGTGAGATGAATGCACACATCACCAAGACGTTTCTGAGAAAGATTATCTGTCTAGTTTTTATGTGAAGATATTTCCTAATTCCCCAGTGGCATCAATGGGCTCACAAATATTCCTTTGCATATTCTACAAAATGACTGTTTAGAAGGTGCTCAGTCAAAAAAAAAAAGTGCAACACTGTGAGATGAACGTGCACATTCAAAGGAAGTTTCTCAGAATTCTTCTATCTAGTTTTTATGTGAAGATATTTCCTTTTTCACTGTAGGCCAGAAAGTGCTCCAAATATCCACTTGCAGACTCTACAAAACGAATGTATCCACACTGCTCAATCAAAAGAAAATTTCAACTGTGCGAGATGAATGCACACATCAAAATAAATTTCTCCAAAACTTCTGCCTACTTTTTATGGGAAGATATTTCGTTTTTCAACGTAGGCCAAAAGCGCTCCAAATATCAATTTGCAGATTCTACAAAAAGACTGTTTCCAAACTGCTCAATCAACAGAAAGTTTCAACCCGGTGAGTAGAAGTCACACATGACAAAATAGTTTCTCAGAAAGTAGCTGTCTAGTTTTTATGGGAAGAGATTTCCTTTTCCACCATAGGCCTCAAAGCTCTCCAAATATCCATTTGCAGATACTGTAAAAAGACTGTTTCCAAACTGCTGAATCAAAAGAAAGGTTGAACTCCATGAGTTGAATGCACACGTCACAAAGAAGTTTCTCAGAATGCTTCTGACTACTTTTTATGTGAAGATATTTTCTTTTCCACCATAGGCCTCAAAGCGCTGAAAATATCCACTTGAAGATTCTACAGAAAGAGAGTTTCAAAACTGCTCAAACAAAAGAAAGATTCAACTCTGTGAGATGAATGCACACATCACAAAGAAGTTTCTCAGAATGCTTCTGTCTAGTTTTAAGTAAAGATATTTCCTTTTCTACTATAGGTCACAAAGCACTCCAAATATCAACTTGCAGATTCTGCAGAAAGAGTTTTTCAAAGCTACTCAATCAAAAGAAAAGTTCAACTCTTTGAGATGAATGCACACATCATGAAGTTCCTCAAAATGCTTCTATTTTTATGTGAAGATATATCCTTTTCTACCATAGACCACAAAATGCTCCAAATATCTCCTTGCAGTTTCTACTAAAAGAGTGTTTCCAAACGGCTCAATCAAAAGAAAGTTTCAACTCTGTGAGATGAATGCACACATCATTAAGAAGTTTCTCAGTAATTTTCTGTCTAGTTTTTATGTGAAGATATTTCCTTTCCTACTATAGGCCTGAAAGTGCTCCAAATATCCATTTGCATATACTGCAAAAAGACTGTTTCCAAACTGCTCAATCAAAGGAAAGGTCCAACTCTGTGAGTTGAATGCACGCATCTCAAAGAGATTTCTCAGAATGGTTCTGTCTAGTTTTTATGTGAAGATATTTGCTTTTCCACCAGTGGCCTCAAACTCTCCAAATATCCACTTGCAGATTGTACAATAAGAGTGTTTCAAAACTGCTCAATCAAAAGAAAGGTTTAACTCTGTGAGATGAATGTACACCTCACAAAGCACTTTCTCAGAATGCATCTGTCTAGTTTTTATGTGAAGATATTTCGTTTTTCACCATAGGCCGCAAGGCGTTCCAAATATCCCCTTCAGATTCTACAGAAAGAGTGTTTCAAAACTGTTCAATCAAAAGAAAGGTTCAACCCTGGTGATGAATGCACGCATCACAGAGCAGTTTCTCATAATGTTTCTGTCTAGTTTTTATGTGAAGATATTTCATTCTCCACTATAGGCCGTAATGCACTCCTAATATCCACTTGCAGATTCTACAAAAAGACTGTTTGCAAACTGCTCAAACAAAAGAAAAGATCAACTCTGTGAGTTGAATGAGCACATCACAAAGAGGTTTCTCTGAATGCTTCTGTCTAGTTTTTATGTGAATATATTTCCTTTTCCACTATAGGCCGTAATGCGCTCCAAATATCCACCTGCAGATTCTACAGAAAGACTGTTTCCAAACTGCTCAATCAAAAGAAAAGCTCAACTCTGTGAGTTGAATGAGCACATCACAAAGAAGTTTCTCAGAATGCTTCTATCTAGTTTTTATGTGAATATATTTCCTTTTCCACCACAGGCCACAAACACTCCAAATATCCACTTGAAGATTCTACAAAAAGAGTGCTTCAAAAATGGTCAATCAAAAGAAAGGTTCAACTCTTTGAGATGGATGCACACATCACAAAGAAGCTTCTCAGAATGTTTCTGTCTAGTTTTTTTGTGAAGATATTTCCTTTTCCACCGTAGTCCTCAAGTCTCTCCAAATATCTACTTTCAGAATCTCCAAAAAGAGTGTTTCAAAACTGCTGTACCAAAGAAAGTTTCATGTCTGATTTATGACTGCATACAACACAGAGAACTTTCTCAAAGTGCTTCTGTTTATTTTTTTTATGAAGATATTTCCTTTTCCACTATGGGCCACAGAGCGCTCCAAATATCCACTGGCAGATTCTACAAAAAGAGTGTTTCAAAACTGCTCAATCAATAGAAAGTTTGAAGTCTGTGAGATGAATGCACACATCACATAGGAGTTTCTAAGAATGCTTCCATCTGAATTTTATGTGAGGATATTTCCTTTTTCACCATAGGCCTCAGTACACTCCAAATATCCATTTACAGATAATACAAATGACTGTATCCAAACTGCTCAATCAAAAGAAAGTTCAACTTTGTATGATGAATGCACACATCACAAGGGTGTTTCTCAGAAAGTTTTTGTCTAGTTTTTAGGTGAAGATATTTCTTATTTCCCCAGAGGCCTCAATGGGCTCTCAAATATACCCTTTCATATTCTACTAAATGGCTGTATCGAAGCTGCTCAATCAAAAGACGGGTTTAACAGTGTGAGACGAAAATACACCTTCCTAGGAAGTTTCTCAGAATTCTTCTTTCTAGTTTTTTATGTGAAGATATTTCCTTTTCCACTATAGGCCTCAAAGCGTTCCAAATATCCACTTGCAGATACTACAAATAGAGCGTTTCAAAACTGCTCAATCAAAAGAAAGTTTCAACACTGCGAGATGAATGCAGACATGAAAAAGAAGCTTCTCAGAATGCTTCTGCCTTGTTTTTATGTGAAGATATTTCCTTTTTCACCATAGGCCTCAAAGCACTGGTAATATCCATTTGCAGATACTACAAAAAGACTGTTCCCAAACTGCTCAATAAAAAGAAAGTTTCAACTCTAGGAGATAAAAGCAAATATCACAAAGAAGTTTCTCAGAAACTTTCTATCTAGTTTTTATGTGAACATATTTCTTATCACCCCATAGACCTCAATCGGCTCACAAGTATCCTTCTGCAGATTGTAAAAAAATACTGTTTCCAAACCGCTCAATCACAGGAAAGGTTTAACTCTGTGAAATGAATGCATCCATCACAGAGAAGTTTCTCAGAATGCTTCCGTCTCGTTTTCATGTGAAGAAGATTCCTTTTCCACCATATTCCTCATGCGCTCCAAATAAACACTTGCAGATTCCGCTAAAAGAGTGTTTCAAAACTGCTCAATCAAAAGAAAGGTTCTAGTCGGTGAGATGAATGCACACATCACAAAGAAGTTTCTATGAATGCTTCTGTCTGATTTATATTGAAGATATTTCCTTTTTCACCGTAGGCCTCAGAGTGCTTAAAATATCCATTTGCAGATACTAGAAAAGACTGTTTCCAAACTGCTCAATCAAAATAAAGTTCAACTCAGTGAGATGAATGCACACATCACCAAGACGTTTCTGAGAAAGATTCTGTCTCGTTTTTATGTGAAGATATTTCCTGTTTCCCCAGAAGCATCAATGGGCTCACAAATATTCCTTTGCATATTCTACAAAATGACTGTTTAGAAGGTGCTCAATCAAAAAAAAAGTTCAACAGTGTGAGATGAATGCGCCCACTCAAAGGAAGTTTCTCAGAATTCTTCTATCTAGTTTTTATGTGAAGATATTTCCTTTTTCTCTATAGGCCACAAAGTGCTCCAAATATCCACTTGCAGACTCTACAAAACGAGTGTATCCACACTGCTCAATCAAAAGAAAATTTCAACTGTGTGAGATGAGTGCACACATCAAAATAAATTTCTCCAAAACTTCTGCCTACTTTTTATGGGAAGATATTTCGTTTTTCAACGTAGGCCAAAAGCACTCCAAATATCAATTTGCAGATTCTACAAAAAGACTGTTTCCAAACTGCTCAATCAACAGAAAGTTTCAACCCGGTGAGTAGAAGTCACACATGACAAAATAGTTTCTCAGAAAGTAGCTGTCTAGTTTTTATGAGAAGAGATTTCCTTTTCCACCATAGGCGTCAAAGCTCTCCAAATAGCCATTTGCAGATACTGTAAAAAGACTGTTTCCAAACTGCTGAATCAAAAGAAAGGTTGAACTCCATGAGTTGAATGCACACGTCACAAAGAAGTTTCTCAGAATGCTTCTGACTAGTTTTTATGTGAAGATATTTTCTTTTCCACCGTAGGCCTCAAAGCGCTGAAAATATCCACTTGAAGATTCTACCAAAAGAGAGTTTCAAAACTGCTCAAACAAAAGAAAGATTGAACTCTGTGAGATGAATGCACACATCACAAAGAAGTTTCTCAGAATGCTTCTGTCTAGTTTTATGTAAAGATATTTCCTTTTCTACTATAGGCCACAAAGCACCCCAAATATCAACTTGCAGATTCTGCAGAAAGAGTTTTTCAAAGCTGCTCAATCAAAAGAAAAGTTCAACTCTTTGAGATGAATGTACACATCAGGAAGTTCCTCAGAATGCTTCTATTTTTATGTGAAGATATATCCTTTTCTACCATAGACCACAAAACGCTCCAAATATCCCCTTGCAGTTTCTACTAAAAGAGTGTTTCCAAACGGCTCAATCAAAAGAAAGTTTCAACTCTGTGAGATGAATGCACACATCATTAAGAAGTTTCTCAGTAATTTTCTGTCTAGTTTTTATGTGAAGATATTTCCTTTCCTACTATAGGCCTGAAAGTGCTCCAAATATCCGTTTGCAGATACTGCAAAAAGACTGTTTCCAAACTGCTCAATCAAAGGAAATGTCCAACTCTGTGAGTTGAATGCACGCATCTCAAAGAGATTACTTATAATGATTCTCTCTAGTTTTTATGTGAAGATATTTGCTTTTCCACCAGTGGCCTCAAACTCTCCAAATATCCACTTGCAGATTGTACAATAAGAGTGTTTCAAAACTGCTCAATCCAAAGAAAGGTTTAACTCTGTGAGATGAATGCACACATCACAAACCACCTTCTCAGAATGCTTCTGTCTAGCTTATATGTGAAGATATTTCTTTTTCACCATAGGCTGCAAAGCGCTCCAAATATCCCTTTCAGATTCTACAGAAAGAGTGTTTCAAAACTGTTCAATCAAAAGAGAAATTCAACTCTGGTGATGAATGCACGCATCACAAAGCAGTTTCTCATAATGTTTCTGTCTAGTTTTTATGTGAAGATATTTCATTTTCCACTATAGGCCGTAATGCACTCCTAATATCCACTTGCAGATTCTACAAAAAGACTGTTTCCAAACTGCTCAAACAGAAGAAAAGTTCAACTCTGTGAGTTGAATGAGCACATCACGAAGAAGTTTCTCAGAATGCTTCTGTCTAGTTTTTATGTGAATATATTTCCTTTTCCACTATAGGCCGTCATGCGCTCCAAATATCCACTTGCAGATTCTACAAAAAGACTGTTTCCAAACTGCTCAATCAAAAGAAAAGCTCAACTCTGTGAGTTGAATGAGGACATCACAAAGAAGTTTCTCAGAATGCTTCTATCTAGTTTTTATGTGAATATATTTCCTTTTCCACCACAGGCCACAAACACTCCAAATATCCACTTGAAGTTTCTACAAAAAGAGTGCTTCAAAAATGCTCAATGAAAAGAAAGGTTCAACTCTTTGAGATGGATGCACACATCACAAAGAAGCTTCTCAGAATGTTCCTGTCTAGTTTTTTTGTGAAGATATTTCCTTTTCCACCGTAGTCCTCAAGTCTCTCCAAATATCTACTTTCAGAATCTCCAAAAAGAGTGTTTTAAAACTGCTGTACCAAAGACATTTTCATGTCTGAGATATGACTGCATACAACACAGAGAAGTTTCTCAAAGTGCTTCTGTTTATTTTTTTTATGAAGATATTTCCTTTTCCACTATTGGCCACAGAGCGCTCCAAATATCCACTGGCAGATTCTACAAAAAGAGTGTTTCAAAACTGCTCAATCAATAGAAAGTTTGAAGTCTGTGAGATGAATGCACACATCACAAAGGAGTTTCTAAGAATGCTTCCATCTGAATTTTATGTGAGGATATTTCCTTTTTCACCATAGGCCTCAGTACACTCCAAATACCCATTTACAGATAATACAAATGACTGTATCCAAACTGCTCAATCAAAAGAAAGTTCAACTGTGTATGATGAATGCACACAACACAAGGGTATTTCTCAGAAAGTTTTTGTCTAGTTTTTAGGTGAAGATATTTCTTATTTCCCCAGAGGCCTCAATGGGCTCTCAAATATTCCCTTTCATATTCTACTAAATGACTGTATCAAAGCTGCTCAATCAAAAGACAGGTTTAACAGTGTGAGACGAAAATACACCTTCCTAGGAAGTTTCTCAGAATTCTTCTTTCTAGTTTTTTATGTGAAGATATTTCCTTTTCCACTATAGGCCTCAAAGCGTTCCAAATATCCACTTGCAGATACTACAAATAGAGCTTCTCAAAACTGCTCAATCAAAAGAAAGGTTCAACTCTGAGAGATGAATGCAGACATCAAATATAAGTTTCTCAGAATGCTTCCGCCTTGTTTTTATGTGAAGATATTTCCTTTTTCACCATAGGCCTCAAAGCACTGGTAATATCCATTTGCAGATACTACAAAAAGACTGTTCCCAAACTGCTCAATAAAAAGAAAGTTTCAACTCTAGGAGATAAAAGCAAATATCACAAAGAAGTTTCTCAGAAACTTTCTATCTAGTTTTTATGTGAACATATTTCTTATCACCCCATAGACCTCAATCGGCTCACAAGTATCCTTCTGCAGATTGTAAAAAACTACTGTTTCCAAACCGCTCAATCACAGGAAAGTTTTAACTCTGTGAAATGAATGCATCCATCACAGAGAAGTTTCTCAGAATGCTTCCGTCTCGTTTTCATGTGAAGAAGATTCCTTTTCCACCATATTCCTCATGCGCTCCAAATAAACACTTGCAGATTCCGCTAAAAGAGTGTTTCAAAACTGCTCAACCAAAAGAAAGGTTCTAGTCGGTGAGATGAATGCACACATCACAAAGAAGTTTCTATGAATGCTTCTGTCTGATTTATATTGAAGATATTTCCTTTTTCACCGTAGGCCTCAGAGTGCTTAAAATATCCATTTGCAGATACTAGAAAAGACTGTTTCCAAACTGCTCAATCAAAGTAAAGTTCAACTCAGTGAGATGAATGCACACATCACAAAGACGTTTCTGAGAAAGATTCTGTCTAGTTTTTATTTGAAGATATTTCCTATTTCCCCAGAGGCATCAATGGGCTCACAAATATTCCTTTGCATATTCTACAAAATGACTGTTTAGAAGCTGCTCAATCAAGAAAAAAGTTCAACACTGTGAGATGAATGCACACATTCAAAGGAAGTTTCTCAGAATTCTTCTATCTAGTTTTTATGTGAAGATATTTCCTTTTTCACTATAGGCCACAAAGTGCTCCAAATATCCACTTGCAGACTCTACAAAACGAGTGTATCCACACTGCTCAATCAAAAGAAAATTTCAACTGTGTGAGATGAATGCACACATCAAAATAAATTTCTCCAAAACTTCTGCCTACTTTTTATGGGAAGATATTTCGTTTTTCAACGTAGGCCAAAAGCACTCCAAATATCAATTTGCAGATTCTACAAAAAGACTGTTTCCAAACTGCTCAATCAAGAGAAAGTTTCAACCCGGTGAGTAGAAGTCACACATGACAAAATAGTTTCTCAGAAATTATCTGTCTAGTTTTTACGTGAAGATATTTCCTATCACCCCAGAAGCCTCAATGGGCTCACAAATATTCCTTTGCAGATTCTACAAAAAGGCAGTTTCAAAACTGCTGAATCAAAAGAAAGGTTCAACTCTGGGAGATGAATGCACAGATCACAAATAAGTTTCTCAGAATGCTGCTGCCTAGTTTTAATGGGAAGAGATTTCCTTTTCCACCATAGGCCTCAAAGCTCTCCAAATAGCCATTTGCAGATACTGTAAAAAGACTGTTTCCAAACTGCTGAATCAAAAGAAAGGTTGAACTCCATGAGTTGAATGCACACGTCATAAAGAAGTTTCTCAGAATGGTTCTGACTAGTTTTTATGGGAAGATATTTTCTTTTCCAAGATAGGCCTCAAAGCGCTGAAAATATCCACTTGAAGATTCTACAGAAAGAGAGTTTCAAAACTGCTCAAACAAAAGAAAGATTCAACTCTGTGAGATGAATGCACACATCACAAAGAAGTTTCTCAGAATACTTCTGTCTAGTTTTAAGTAAAGATATTTCCTTTTCTACTATAGGCCACAAAGCGCTCCAAATATCAACTTGCAGATTCTGCAGAAAGGGTTTTTCAAAGCTGCTCAATCAAAAGAAAATTTCAACTCTTTGAGATGAATGCACACATCAGGAAGTTCCTCAGAATGCTTCTGTCTATTTTTAATGTGAAGATATATCCTTTTCTACCAAAGACCACAAAGTGCTCCAAATATCCCCTTGCAGTTTCTACTAAAAGAGTGTTTCCAAACTGCTCAATCAAAAGAAAGTTTCAACTCTGTGAGATGAATGCACACATCACTGAGAAATTTCTCAGTAATTTTCTGTCTAGTTTTTATGTGAAGATATTTCCTTTCCTACTATAGGCCTGAAAGTGCTCCAAATATCCGCTTGCAGATACTGCAAAAAGACTGTTTCCAAACTGCTCAATCAAAGGAAATGTCCAACTCTGTGAGTTGAATGCACGCATCTCAAAGAGATTACTTATAATGATTCTGTCTGGTTTTGATGTGAAGATATTTGCTTTTCCACCAGTGGCCTCAAACTCTCCAAATATCCACTTGCAGATTCTACAATAAGAGTGTTTCAAAACTGCTCAATCAAAAGAAAGGTTCAACACTGTGAGATGAATGCACACGTCACAAAGCACTTTCTTAGAATGCTTCTGTCTAGCTTTTATGTGAAGATATTTCCTTTTTCACCATAGGCTGCAAAGCGCTCCAAATATCCCTTTCAGATTCTACAGAAAGAGTGTTTCAAAACTGTTCAATCAAAAGAGAAACTCAACTCTGGTGATGAATGCACGCATCACAAAGCAGTTTCTCATCATGTTTCTGTCTATTTTTTATGTGAAGTTATTTCATTTTCCACTATAGGCCGTAATGCACTCCTAATATCCACTTGCAGATTCTACAAAAAGACTGTTTGCAAACTGCTCAAACAAAAGAAAAGTTCAACTCTGTGAGTTGAATGAGCACATCACAAAGAAGTTTCTCAGAATGCTTCTGTCTAGTTTTTATGTGAATATATTTCCTTTTCCACTATAGGCCGTCATGCGCTCCAAATATCCACTTGCAGATTCTACAAAAAGACTGTTTCCAAACTGCTCAATCAAAAGAAAAGCTCAACTCTGTGAGTTGAATGAGCACATCACAAAGAAGTTTCTCAGAATGCTTCTATCTAGTTTTTATGTGAATATATTTCCTTTTCCACCAGAGGCCACAAACACTCCAAATAACCACTTGAAGATTCTACAAAAAAAGTGCTTCAAAAATGCTCAATCAAAAGAAAGGTTCAACTCTTCGAGATGGACGCACACATCACAAAGAAGCTTCTCAGAATGTTTCTGTCTAGTTTTTTTGTGAAGATGTTTCCTTTTCCACCGTAGTCCTCAAGTCTCTCCAAATATCTACTTTCAGAATCTCCAAAAAGAGTGTTTTAAAACTGCTGTACCAAAGAAATTTTCATGTCTGAGATATGACTGCATACAACACAGAGAAGTTTCTCAAAGTGCTTCTGTTTATTTTTTTTATGAAGATATTTCCTTTTCCACTATGGGCCACAGAGCGCTCCAAATATCCACTTGCAGATTCTACAAAAAGAGTGTTTCAAACCTGCTCAATCAAAAGGAAGATTTTACTCTATGAGATGAATGGACACATCACAGAGAAGTTTCTCAATATGCTTCCATCTGAATTTTATGTGAGGATATTTCCTTTTTCACCATAGGCCTCAGTACACTCCAAATACCCATTTACAGATAATACAAATGACTGTATCCAAACTGCTCAATCAAAAGAAAGTTCAACTGTGTATGATGAATGCACACAACACAAGGGTGTTTCTCAGAAAGTTTTTGTCTAGTTTTTAGGTGAAGATATTTCCTACTTTCCAAGAGGCCTCAATGGGCTCGCAAATATTCTCTTTCAGATTCTACTAAATGACTGTATCGAAGCTGCTCAATCAAAAGAAAGGTTCAACAGTGTGAGAAGAAAGCACACATTCCTAGGAAGTTTCTCAGAACTCTGCTGTCTAGTTTTTATTGGAAGATGTGTCCTTTTCCCCCATAGGCCTGAAAGTGCCCCAAATATCCACTTGCAGATTGTACAAAAAGACTGTTTCAAAACTGCTCAATCAAAAGAAAAGTTCAAATCTGTGAGATGAAAGCACACATCAGAAAGAAGTTTCTCAGAAAGTTTCTGCCTTGTATTTATGGGAAGATATTTCCTTTTTCACCATAGGTCTCAAAGCACTGGTAATATCCATTTCCAGATACTACAAAAAGACTTTTCCCAAACTGCTCAATCAAAAGAAAGTTTTAACTCTGTGAGATGAAAGCAAATATCACAAAGAAGTGTCTCAGAAATTTTCTATCTAGTTTTTATGTGAACATATTTCTTATCACCCCATAGACCTCAATCAGCTCACAAGTATCCTTCTGCAGATTGTAAAAAACTACTGTTTCCAAACCGCTCAATCACAGGAAAGGTTTAACTCTGTGAAATGAATGCATCCATCACAGAGAAGTTTCTCAGAATGCTTCCGTCTCGTTTTTATGTGAAGAAGATTCCTTTTCCACCATATTCCTCATGCGCTCCAAATAAACACTTGCAGATTCCGCTAAAAGAGTGTTTCAAAACTGCTCAATGAAAAGAAAGGTTCTAGTCGGTGAGATGTATGCACACATCACAAAGAAGTTTCTATGAATGCTTCTGTCTGATTTATATTGAAGATATTTCCTTTTTCACCGTAGGCCTTAGAGTGCTTAAAATATCCATTTGCAGATACTAGAAAAGACTGTTTCCAAACTGCTCAATCAAATTAAAGTTCAACTCAGTGAGATGAATGCACACATCACCAAGACGTTTCTGATAAAGATTCTGTCTCGTTTTTATGTGAAGATATTTCCTGTTTCCCCAGAGGCATCAATGGGCTCACAAATATTCCTTTGCATATTCTACAAAATGACTGTTTAGAAGGTGCTGAATCAAAAAAAAAGTTCAACAGTGTGAGATGAATGCGCCCATTCAACGGAAGTTTCTCAGAATTCTTCTATCTAGTTTTTATGTGAAGATATTTCCTTTTTCACTGTAGGCCACAAAGTGCTCCAAATATCCACTTGCAGACTCTACAAAACGAATGTATCCACACTGCTCAATCAAAAGAAAATTTCAACTGTGCGAGATGAATGCACACATCAAAATAAATTTCTCCAAAACTTCTGCCTACTTTTTATGGGAAGATATTTCGTTTTTCAACGTAGGCCAAAAGCACTCCAAATATCAATTTGCAGATTCTACAAAAAGACTGTTTCCAAACTGCTCAATCAAGAGAAAGTTTCAACCCGGTGAGTAGAAGTCACACACGACAAAATAGTTTCTCAGAAAGTAGCTGTCTAGTTTTTATGAGAAGAGATTTCCTTTTCCACCATAGGTGTCAAAGCTCTCCAAATAGCCATTTGCAGATACTGTAAAAAGACTGTTTCCAAACTGCTGAATCAAAAGAAAGGTTGAACTCCATGAGTTGAATGCACACGTCACAAAGAAGTTTCTCAGAATGCTTCTGACTAGTTTTTATGTGAAGACATTTTCTTTTCCACCATAGGCCTCAAAGTGCTAAAAATATACACTTGAAGATTCTACAAAAAGAGAGTTTCAAAACTGCTCAAACAAAAGAAAGTTTCAACTCTGTGACATGAGTGCACACATCACAAAGAAGTTTCTCAGAATGCTTCTGTCTAGTTTTAAGTAAAGATATTTCCTTTTCTACTATAGGCCACAAAGCGCTCCAAATATCAACTTGCAGATTCTGCAGAAAGGGTTTTTCAAAGCTGCTCAATCAAAAGAAAAGTTCAACTCTTTGAGATGAATGCACACATCAGGAAGTTCCTCAGAATGCTTCTATTTTTATGTGAAGATATATCCTTTTCTACCATAGACCACAAAACGCTCCAAATATCCCCTTGCAGTTTCTACTAAAATAGTGTTTCCAAACGGCTCAATCAAAAGAAAGTTTCAACTTTGTGAGATGAATGCACACATCACAAAGAAGTTTCTCAGAATGCTTCTGTCTAGTTTTTATGTGAAGATATTTCCTTTCCTACTATAGGCCTGAAAGTGCTCCAAATATCCGCTTGCAGATACTGCAAAAAGACTGTTTCCAAACTGCTCAATCAAAGGAAACGTCCAACTCTGTGAGTTGAATGCACGCATCTCAAAGAGATTACTTATAATGATTCTGTCTAGTTTTGATGTGAAGATATTTGCTTTTCCACCAGTGGCCTCAAACTCTCCAAATATCCACTTGCAGATTCTACAATAAGAGTGTTTCAAAACTGCTCATTCAAAAGAAAGGTTCAACACTGTGAGATGAATGCACACATCACAAAGCACTTTCTTAGAATGCTTCTGTCTAGCTTTTATGTGAAAATATTTCCTTTTTCACCATAGGCTGCAAAGCGCTCCAAATATCCCTTTCAGATTCTACAGAAAGAGTGTTTGAAAACTGTTCAATCAAAAGAGAAACTCAACTCTGGTGATGAATGCACACATCACAAAGCAGTTTCTCATAATGTTTCTGTCTAGTTTTAATGTGAAGATATTTCATTCTCCACTATAGGCCGTAATGCACTCCTAATATCCACTTGCAGATTCTACAAAAAGACTGTTTGCAAACTGCTCAAACAAAAGAAAAGTTCAACTCTGTGAGTTGAATGAGCACATCACAAAGAAGTTTCTCAGAATGCTTCTGTCTAGTTTTTATGTGAATATATTTCCTTTTCCACTATAGGCCGTCATGCGCTCCAAATATCCACGTGCAGATTCTACAAAAAGACTGTTTCCAAACTGCTCAATCAAAAGAAAAGCTCAACTCTGTGAGTTGAATGAGCACATCACAAAGAAGTTTCTCAGAATGCTTCTATCTAGTTTTTATGTGAATATATTTCCTTTTCCACCACAGGCCACAAACACTCCAAATATCCACTTGAAGATTCTACAAAAAGAGTGCTTCAAAAATGCTCAATCAAAAGAAAGGTTCAACTCTTTGAGATGGATGCACACATCACAAAGAAGCTTCTCAGAATGTTTCTGTCTAGTTTTTTTGTGAAGATATTTCCTTTTCCAACGTAGTCCTCAAGTCTCTCCAAATATCTACTTTCAGAATCTCCAAAAAGAGTGTTTTAAAACTGCTGTACCAAAGAAAGCTTCATGTCTGAGATATGACTGCATACAACACAGAGAACTTTCTCAAAGTGCTTCTTTTTATTTTTTTTATGAAGATATTTCCTTTTCCACTATGGGCCACAGAGCGCTCCAAATATCCACTTGCAGATTCTACAAAAAGAGTGTTTCAAAACTGCTCAATCAATAGAAAGTTTGAAGTCTGTGAGATGAATGCACACATCACAAGGGAGTTTCTGAGAATGCTTCCATCTGAATTTTATGTGAGGATATTTCCTTTTTCACCATAGGCCTCAGTACACTCCAAATATCCATTTACAGATAATACAAATGACTGTATCCAAACTGCTCAATCAAAAGAAAGTTCAACTGTGTATGATGAATGCACACATCACAAGGGTGTTTCTCAGAAAGATTTTGTCTAGTTTTTAGGTGAAGATATTTCTTATTTCCCCAGAGGCCTCAATGGGCTCTCAAATATTCCCTTTCATATTCTACTAAATGACTGTATCGAAGCTGCTCAATCAAAAGACGGGTTTAACAGTGTGAGACGAAAATACACCTTCCTAGGATGTTTCTCAGAATTCTTCTTTCTAGTTTTTTATGTGAAGATATTTCCTTTTCCACTATAGGCCTCAAAGCGTTCCAAATATCCACTTGCAGATACTACAAATAGAGCGTTTCAAAACTGCTCAATCAAAAGAAAGGTTCAACTCTGCGAGATGAATGCAGACATCAAAAAGAAGTTTCTCAGAATGCTTCTGCCTTGTTTTTATGTGAAGATATTTCCTTTTTCACCATAGGCCTCAAAGCACTGGCAATATCCATTTGCAGATACTACAAAAAGACTGTTCCCAAACTGCTCAATAAAAAGAAAGTTTCAACTCTATGAGATAAAAGCAAATATCACAAAGAAGTTTCTCAGAAACTTTCTATCTAGTTTTTATGTGAACATATTTCTTATCACCCCATAGACCTCAATCGGCTCACAAGTATCCTTCTGCAGACTGTAAAAAACTACTGTTTCCAAACCGCTCAATCACAGGAAAGGTTTAACTCTGTGAAATGAATGCATCCATCACAGAGAAGTTTCTCAGAATGCTTCCGTCCGTTTTCATGTGAAGAAGATTCCTTTTCCACCATATTCCTCATGCGCTCCAAAGAAACACTTGCAGATTCCGCTAAAAGAGTGTTTCAAAACTGCTCAATCAAAAGAAAGGTTCTAGTCAGTGAGATGAATGCACACATCACAAAGAAGTTTCTATGAATGCTTCTGTCTGATTTATATTGAAGATATTTCCTTTTTCACCGTAGGCCTCAGAGTGCTTAAAATATCCATTTGCAGATACTAGAAAACACTGTTTCCAAACTGCTCAATCAAAGTAAAGTTCAACTCAGTGAGATAAATGCACACATCACCAAGACGTTTCTGAGAAAGATTCTGTCTAGTTTTTATTTGAAGATATTTCCTATTTCCCCAGGAGGCATCAATGGGCTCACAAATATTCCTTTGCATATTCTACAAAATGACTGTTTAGAAGCTGCTCAATCAAGAAAAAAGTTCAACACTGTGAGATGAATGCACACATTCAAAGGAAGTTTCTCAGAATTCTTCTATCTAGTTTTTATGTGAAGATATTTCCTTTTTCACTATAGGCCACAAAGTGCTCCAAATATCCACTTGCAGACTCTACAAAACGAGTGTATCCACACTGCCCAATCAAAAGAAAATTTCAACTGTGTGAGATGAATGCACACATCAAAATAAATTTCTCCAAAACTTCTGCCTACTTTTTATGGGAAGATATTTCGTTTTTCAACGTAGGCCAAAAGCGCTCCAAATATCAATTTGCAGATTCTACAAAAAGACTGTTTCCAAACTGCTCAATCAAGAGAAAGTTTCTACCCGGTGAGTAGAAGTCACACATGACAAAATAGTTTCTCAGAAAGTATCTGTCTAGTTTTTACGTGAAGATATTTCCTATCACCCCAGAAGCCTCAATGGGCTCACAAATATTCCTTTGCAGATTCTACAAAACGACAGTTTCAAAACTGCTGAATCAAAAGAAAGGTTCAACTCTGGGAGATGAATGCACAGATCACAAATGAGTTTCTCAGAATGCTGCTGTCTACTTTTTATGGGAAGATATTTCCTTTTCCACCATAGGCCTCAAAGCTCTCCAAATAGCCATTTGCAGATACTGTAAAAAGACTGTTTCCAAACTGCTGAATCAAAAGAAAGGTTGAACTCCATGAGTTGAATGCACACGTCACAAAAATTTCCCAGAATGCTTCTGGCTAGTTTTTATGTGAAGATATTTTCTTTTCCACCATAAGCCTCAAAGCATTGAAAATATCCACTTGAAGATTCTACAAAAAGAGAGTTTCAAAACTGCTCAAACAAAAGAAAGATTCAACTCTGTGAGATGAATGCACACATCACAAAGAAGTTTCTCAGAATGCTTCTGTCTAGTTTTAAGTAAAGATATTTCCTTTTCTACTATAGGCCACAAAGCACTCCAAATATCAACTTGCAGATTCTGCAGAAAGAGTTTTTCAAAGCTGCTCAATCAAAAGAAAAGTTCAACTCTTTGAGATGAATGCACACATCATGAAGTTCCTCAGAATGCTTCTATTTTTATGTGAAGATATATCGTTTTCTACCATAGACCACAAAACTCTCCAAATATCCCCTTGCAGTTTCTACTAAAAGAGTGTTTCCAAACGGCTCAATCAAAAGAAAGTTTCAACTCTGTGAGATGAATGCACACATCATTAAGAAGTTTCTCAGTAATTTTGTGTCTAGTTTTTATGTGAAGATATTTCCTTTCCTACTATAGGCCTGAAAGTGCTCCAAATATCCGTTTGCAGATACTGCAAAAAGACTGTTTCCAAACTGCTCAATCAAAGGAAATGTCCAACTCTGTGAGTTGAATGCACGCATCTCAAAGAGATTACTTATAATGATTCTGTCTAGTTTTGATGTGAAGATATTTGCTTTTCCACCAGTGGCCTCAAACTCTCCAAATATCCACTTGCAGATTCTACAATAAGAGTGTTTCAAAACTGCTTAATCAAAAGAAAGGTTCAACACTGTGAGATGAATGCACACGTCACAAAGCACTTTCTTAGAATGCTTCTGTCTAGCTTTTATGTGAAGATATTTCCTTTTTCACCATAGGCTGCAAAGCGCTGCAAATATCCCTTTCAGATTCTACAGAAAGAGTGTTTCAAAACTGTTCAATCAAAAGAGAAACTCAACTCTGGTGATGAATGCACGCATCACAAAGCAGTTTCTCATAATGTTTCTGTCTAGTTTTTATGTGAAGATATTTCATTTTCCACTATAGGCCGTAAGGCACTCCTAATATCCACTTGCAGATTCTACAGAAAGACTGTTTGCAAACTGCTCAAACAAAAGAAAAGTTCAACTCTGTGAGTTGAATGAGCACATCACAAAGAAGTTTCTCAGAATGCTTCTGTCTAGTTTTTATGTGAATATATTTCCTTTTCCACTATAGGCCATAATGCGCTCCAAATATCCACCTGCAGATTCTACAAAAAGAGTGTTTCCAAACTGCTCAATCAAAAGAAAAGCTCAACTCTGTGAGTTGAATGAGCACATCACAAAGAAGTTTCTCAGAATGCTTCTATCTAGTTTTTATGTGAATATATTTCCTTTTCCACCACAGGCCACAAACCCTCCAAATATCCACTTGAAGATTCTACAAAAAGAGTGCTTCAAAAATGCTCAATCAAAAGAAAGGTTCAACTCTTCGAGATGGACGCACACATCACAAAGAAGCTTCTCAGAATGTTTCTGTCTAGTTTTTTTGTGAAGATATTTCCTTTTCCACCGTAGTCCTCAAGTCTCTCCAAATATCTACTTTCAGAATCTCCAAAAAGAGTGTTTCAAAACTGCTGTACCAAAGAAAGTTTCATGTCTGATTTTATGACTGCATACAACACAGAGAACTTTCTCAAAGTGCTTCTGTTTATTTTTTTTATGAAGATATTTCCTTTTCCACTATTGGCCACAGAGCGCTCCAAATATCCACTGGCAGATTCTACAAAAAGAGTGTTTCAACACTGCTCAATCTATAGAAAGTTTGAAGTCTGTGAGATGAATGCACACATCACAAAGGAGTTTCTAAGAATGCTTCCATCTGAATTTTATGTGAGGATATTTCCTTTTTCACCATAGGCCTCAGTACACTCCAAATATCCATTTACAGATAATACAAATGACTGTATCCAAACTGCTCAATCAAAAGAAAGTTCAACTGTGCATGATGAATGCACACATCACAAGGGTGTTTCTCAGAAAGATTTTGTCTAGTTTTTAGGTGAAGATATTTCTTATTTCCCCAGAGGCCTCAATGGGCTCTCAAGTATTCCCTTTCATATTCTACTAAATGAGTGTATCGAAGCTGCTCAATCAAAAGACGGGTTTAACAGTGTGAGACGAAAATACACCTTCCTAGGAAGTTTCTCAGAATTCTTCTTTCTAGTTTTTTATGTGAAGATATTTCCTTTTCCACTATAGGCCTCAAAGCGTTCCAAATATCCACTTGCAGATACTACAAATAGAGCGTTTCAAAACTGCTCAATCAAAAGAAAGGTTCAACTCTGTGAGATGAATGCAGACATCAAAAAGAAGTTTCTCAGAATGCTTCTGCCTTGTTTTTATGAGAAGATATTTCCTTTTTCACCATAGGCCTCAAAGCACTGGTAATATCCATTTGCAGATACTACAAAAAGACTGTTCCCAAACTGCTCAATAAAAAGAAAGTTTCAACTCTAGGAGATAAAAGCAAATATCACAAAGAAGTTTCTCAGAAACTTTCTATCTAGTTTTTATGTGAACATATTTCTTATCATCCCATAGACCTCAATCGGCTCACAAGTATCCTTCTGCAGACTGTAAAAAACTACTGTTTCCAAACCGCTCAATCACAGGAAAGGTTTAACTCTGTGAAATGAATGCATCCATCACAGAGAAGTTTCTCAGAATGCTTCCGTCTCGTTTTCATGTGAAGAAGATTCCTTTTCCACCATATTCCTCATGCGCTCCAAAGAAACACTTGCAGATTCCGCTAAAAGAGTGTTTCAAAACTGCTCAATCAAAAGAAAGGTTCTAGTCGGTGAGATGAATGCACACATCACAAAGAAGTTTCTATGAATGCTTCTGTCTGATTTATATTGAAGATATTTCCTTTTTCACCGTAGGCCTCAGAGTGCTTAAAATATCCATTTGCAGATACTAGAAAAGACACTTTCCAAACTGCTCAATCAAAATAAAGTTCAACTCAGTGAGATGAATGCAAACATGACCAAGACGTTTCTGAGAAAGATTCTGTCTCGTTTTTATGTGAAGATATTTCCTGTTTCCGCAGAGGCATCAATGGGCTCACAAATATTCCTTTGCATATTCTACAAAATGACTGTTTAGAAGGTGCTCAATCAAAAAAAAAGTTCAACAGTGTGAGATGAATGCGCCCATTCAAAGGAAGTTTCTCAGAATTCTTCTATCTAGTTTTTATGTGAAGATATTTCCTTTTTCACTATAGGCCACAAAGTGCTCCAAATATCCACTTGTAGACCCTACAAAACGAGTGTATCCACACTGCCCAATCAAAAGAAAATTTCAACTGTGTGAGATGAATGCACACATCTAAATAAATTTTTACAAAACTTCTATCTAGTTTTTATGTGAACATATTTCCTATCACCCCATAGACCTCAATCGGCTCACAAGTATCCTTCTGCAGACTGTAAAAAACTACTGTTTCCAAACTGCTCAATCAAGAGAAAGTTTCAACCCGGTGAGTAGAAGTCACACATGACAAAATAGTTTCTCAGGATGTATCTGTCTAGTTTTTATGTGAAGATATTTTCTTTTCCACCATAGGCCTCAAAGCTCTCCAAATATCCATTTGCAGATACTACAAAAAGACTGTTTCCAAACTGCTGAATCAAAGGAAAGGTTCAACTCCATGAGTTGAATGCACACATCACAAAGAAGTTTCTCAGAAAGCTTCTGACTAGTTTTTATGTGAAGATATTTTCTTTTCCACCATAGGCCTCAAAGCGCTGAAAATATCCACTTGAAGATTCTACAGAAAGAGAGTTTCAAAACTGGTCAAACAAAAGAATGATTCAACTCTGTGAGATGAATGCACACTTCACAAAGCACTTTCTTAGAATGCTTCTGTCTAGTTTTATGTAAAGATATTTCCTTTTCTACTCTAGGCCACAAAGCACTCCAAATATCAACTTGCAGATTCTGCAGAAAGAGTTTTTCAAAGCTGCTCAATCAAAAGAAAAGTTCAACACTTTGAGATGAATGCACACATCATGAAGTTCCTCAGAATGCTTCTATTTTTATGTGAAGATATATCCTTTTCTACCATAGACCACAAAACGCTCCAAATATCCCCTTGCAGTTTCTACTAAAAGAGTGTTTCCAAACGGCTCAATGGAAAGAAAGTTTCAACTCTGTGAGATGAATGCACACATCATTAAGGAGTTTCTCAGTAATTTTCTGTCTAGTTTTTATGTGAAGATATTTCCTTTCCTACTATAGGCCTGAAAGTGCTGCAAATATCCGTTTGCAGATACTGCAAAAAGACTGTTTCCACACTGCTCAATCAAAGGAAATGTCCAACTCTGTGAGTTGAATGCACGCATCTCAAAGAGATTACTTCTAATGATTCTGTCTAGTTTTTATGTGAAGATATTTGCTTTTCCACCAGTGGCCTCAAACTCTCCAAATATCCACTTGCAGATTGTACAATAAGAGTGTTTCAAAACTGCTCAATCAAAAGAAAGGTTTAACTTCTGTGAGATGAATGTACACCTCACAAAGCACTTTCTCAGAATGCTTTCTGTCTATCTTTTATGTGAAGATATTTCCTTTTTCACCATAGGCTGCAAAGCGCTCCAAATATCCCTTTCAGATTCTACAGAAAGAGTGTTTCAAAACTGTTCAATCAAAAGAGAAACTCAACTCTGGTGATGAATGCACGCATCACAAAGCAGTTTCTCATCATGTTTCTGTCTAGTTTTTATGTGAATATATTTCCTTTTCCACTAAAGGCCGTCATGCGCTCCAAATATCCACTTGCAGATTCTACAAAAAGACTGTTTCCAAACTGCTCAATCAAAAGAAAAGCTCAACTCTGTGAGTTGAATGAGCACATCACAAAGAAGTTTCTCAGAATGCTTCTGTCTAGTTTTCATGTGAATATATTTCCTTTTCCACTATAGGCCGTCATGCGCTCCAAATATCCACTGGCAGATTCTACAAAAAGACTGTTTCCAAACTGCTCAATCAAAAGAAAATCTCAACTCTGTGAGTTGAATGAGCACATCACAAAAAAGTTTCTCAGAATGCTTCTATCTAGTTTTTATGTGAATATATTTCCTTTTCCACCAGAGACCACAAACACTCCAAATAACCACTTGAAGATTCTACAAAAAAAGTGCTTCAAAAATGCTCAATCAAAAGAAAGGTTCAACTCTTCGAGATGGACGCACACATCACAAAGAAGCTTCTCAGAATGTTTCTGTCTAGTTTTTTTGTGAAGATATTTCCTTTTCCACCGTAGTCCTCAAGTCTCTCCAAATATCTACTTTCAGAATCTCCAAAAAGAGTGTTTTAAAACTGCTGTACCAAAGAAAGTTTCATGTCTGAGATATGACTGCATACAACACAGAGAACTTTCTCAAAGTGCTTCTGTTTATTTTTCTTATGAAGATATTTCCTTTTCCACTATGGGCCACAGAGCGCTCCAAATATCCACTTGCAGATTCTACAAAAAGAGTGTTTCAAACCTGCTCAATCAAAAGGAAGATTTTACTCTATGAGATGAATGGACACATCACAGAGAAGTTTCTCAATATGCTTCCATCTGAATTTTATGTGAGGATATTTCCTTTTTCACCATAGGCCTCAGTACACTCCAAATATCCATTTACAGATAATACAAATGACTGTATCCAAACTGCTCAATCAAAAGAAAGTTCAACTCTGTATGATGAATGCACACATCACAAGGGTGTTTCTCAGAAAGATTTTGTCTTGTTTTTAGGTGAAGATATTTCTTATTTCCCCAGAGGCCTCAATGGGCTTTCAAATATTCCCTTTCATATTCTACTAAATGACTGTATCGAAGCTGCTCAATCAAAAGACGGGTTTAACAGTGTGAGACGAAAATACACCTTCCTAGGAAGTTTCTCAGAATTCTTCTTTCTAGTTTTTTATGTGAAGATATTTCCTTTTCCACTATAGGCCTCAAAGCGTTCCAAATATCCACTTGCAGATACCACAAATAGAGCGTTTCAAAACTGCTCAATCAAAAGAAAGGTTCAACTCTGTGAGATGAATGCAGACATCAAAAAGAAGTTTCTCAGAATGCTTCCGCGTTGTTTTTATGTGAAGATATTTCCTTTTCCACCATAGGCCTCAAAGCACTGGTAATATCCATTTGCAGATACTACAAAAAGACTGTCCCCAAACTGCTCAATAAAAAGAAAGTTTCAACTCTAGGAGATAAAAGCAAATATCACAAAGAAGTTTCTCAGAAACTTTCTATCTAGTTTTTATGTGAACATATTTCTTATCACCCCATAGACCTCAATCGGCTCACAAGTATCCTTCTGCAGATTGTAAAAAACTACTCTTTCTCAACCGCTCAATCACAGGAAAGGTTTAACTCTGTGAAATGAATGCATCCATCACAGAGAAGTTTCTGAGAATGCTTCCGTCCGTTTTCATGTGAAGAAGATTCCTTTTCCACCATATTCCTCATGCGCTCCAAAGAAACACTTGCAGATTCCGCTAAAAGAGTGTTTCAAAACTGCTCAATCAAAAGAAAGGTTCTAGTCGGTGAGATGAATGCACACATCACAAAGAAGTTTCTATGAATGCTTCTGTCTGATTTGTATTGAAGATATTTCCTTTTTCACCGTAGGCCTCAGAGTGCTTAAAATATCCATTTGCAGATACTAGTAAAGACTGTTTCCAAACTGCTCAATCAAAGTAAAGTTCAACTCAGTGAGATGAATGCACACATCACCAAGACGTTTCTGAGAAAGATTCTGTCTCGTTTTTATGTGAAGATATTTCCTGTTTCCCCAGAGGCATCAATGGGCTCACAAATATTCCTTTGCATATTCTACAAAATGACTGTTTAGAAGGTGCTCAATCAAAAAAAAAGTTCAACAGTGTGAGATGAATGCGCCCATTCAAAGGCAGTTTCTCAGAATTCTTCTGTCTAGTTTTTATGTGAAGATATTTCCTTTTTCACTATAGGCCACAAAGTGCTCCAAATATCCACTTGCAGACTCTACAAAAAGAGTGTATCCACACTGCTCAATCAAAAGAAAATTTCAACTGTGTGAGATGAATGCACACATCACAAATAAATTTCTCCAAAACTTCTGCCTACTTTTTATGGGAAGATATTTCGTTTTTCAACATAGGCCAAATGCGCTCCAAATATCAATTTGCAGATTCTACAAAAAGACTGTTTCCAAACTGCTCAATCAAGAGAAAGTTTCAACTCGGTGAGTTGAAGTCACACATGACAAAATAGTTTCTCAGAAAGTATCTGTCTAGTTTTTACGTGAAGATATTTCCTATCACCCCAGAAGCCTCAATGGGCTCACAAATATTCCTTTGCAGATTCTACAAAAAGGCAGTTTCAAAACTGCTGAATCAAAAGAAAGGTTCAACTCTGGGAGATGAATGCACAGATCACAAATAAGTTCCTCAGAATGCTGCTGTCTAGTTTTTATGGGAAGATAATTCCTTTTCCACCATAGGCCTCAAAGCTCTACAAATAGCCATTTGCAGATACTGTAAAAAGACTGTTTCCAAACTGCTGAATCAAAAGAAAGGTTGAACTCCATGAGTTGAATGCACACGTCACAAAGAAGTTTCTCAGAATGCTTCTGTCTAGTTTTTATGTGACAATGTTTCCTTTTCTACCATAGGCCTCAAAGCTCTACAAATATCCACTTGAAGATACTGCAAAAAGTGTGTTTCAAAACTGCTCAATTAAAAGAATGGTTCAACTTCGTGAGATGAATGCACACATCAGAAAGAAATTTCTCAGAATGCTTCTGTCTAGTTTTATGTAAAGATATTTCCTTTTCTACTATAGGCCACAAAGCACTCCAAATATCAACTTGCAGATTCTGCAGAAAGAGTTTTTCAAAGCTGCTCAATCAAAAGAAAAGTTCAACTCTTTGAGATGAATGCACACATCAGGAAGTTCCTCAGAATGCTTCTATTTTTATGTGAAGATAACCTTTTCTACCATAGACCATAAAACGCTCCAAATATCCCCTTGCAGTTTCTACTAAAAGAGTGTTTCCAAACTGCTCAATCAAAGGAAAGTTTCAACTCTGTGAGATGAATGCACACATCATTAAGAAGTTTCTCAGTAATTTTCTGTCTAGTTTTTATTTGAAGATATTTCCTTTCCTACTATAGGCCTGAAAGTGCTCCAAATATCCATTTGCAGATACTGCAAAAAGACTGCTTCCAAACTGCTCAATCAAAGGAAAGGTCCAACTCTATGAGTTGAATGCACGCATCTCAAAGAGATTTCTCAGAATGGTTCTGTCTAGTTTTGATGTGAAGATATTTGCTTTTCCACCAGTGGCCTCAAACTCTGCAAATATCCACTTGCAGATTCTACAATAAGAGTGTTTCAAAACTGCTCAATCAAAAGAAAGGTTCAACACTGTGAGATGAATGCACACGTCACAATGCACTTTCTTAGAATGCTTCTGTCTAGCTTTTATGTGAAGATATTTCCTTTTTCACCATAGGCTGCAAAGCGCTCCAAATATCCCTTTCAGATTCTACAGAAAGAGTGTTTCAAAACTGTTCAATCAAAAGAGAAACTCAACTCTGGTGATGAATGCACGCATCACAAAGCAGTTTCTCATCATGTTTGTCTGTCTAGTTTTTATGTGAAGATATTTCCTTTTCCACTATAGGCCGTAATGCACTCCTAATATCCACTTGCAGATTCTACAGAAAGACTGTTTGCAAACTGCTCAAACAAAAGAAAAGTTCAACTCTGTGAGTTGAATGAGCACATCACAAAGAAGTTTCTCAGAATGCTTCTGTCTAGTTTTTATGTGAATATATTTCCTTTTCCACTATAGGCCGTAATGCGCTCCAAATATCCACTTGCAGTTTCTACAAAAAGACTGTTTCCAAACTGCTCAATCAAAAGAGAAGCTCAACTCTGTGAGTTGAATGAGCACATCAGAAAGAAGTTTCTCAGAATGCTTCTATCTAGTTTTTATGTGAATATATTTCCTTTTCCACCACAGGCCACAAACACTCCAAATATCCACTTGAAGATTCTACAAAAAGAGTGCTTCAAAAATGCTCAATCAAAAGAAAGGTTCCACTCTTTGAGATGGATGCACACATCACAAAGAAGCTTCTCAGAATGTTTCTGTCTAGTTTTTTTGTGAAGATATTTCCTTTTCCACCGTAGTCCTCAAGTCTCTCCAAATATCTACTTTCAGAATCTCCAAAAAGAGTGTTTTAAAACTCCTGTACCAAAGAAAGTTTCATGTCTGAGATATGACTGCATACAACACAGAGAAGTTTCTCAAAGTGCTTCTGTTTATTTTTTTTATGAAGATATTTCCTTTTCCACTATGGGCCACAGAGCGCTCCAAATATCCACTGGCAGATTCTACAAAAAGAGTGTTTCAAAACTGCTCAATCTATAGAAAGTTTGAAGTCTGTGAGATGAATGCACACATCACAAAGGAGTTTCTAAGAATGCTTCCATCTGAATTTTATGTGAGGATATTTCCTTTCTCACCATAGGCCTCAGTACACTCCAAACATCCATTTACAGATAATACAAATGACTGTATCCAAACTGCTCAATCAAAAGAAAGTTCAACTGTGTATGATGAATGCACACATCACAAGGGTGTTTCTCAGAAAGATTTTGTCTAGTTTTTAGGTGAAGATATTTCTTTTTTCCCCAGAGGCCTCAATGGGCTCTCAAATATTCCCTTTTATATTCTACTAAATGACTGTATCGAAGTTGCTCAATCAAAAGACGGGTTTAACAGTGTGAGACGAAAATACACCTTCCTAGGAAGTTTCTCAGAATTCTTCTTTCTAGTTTTTTATGTGAAGATATTTCCTTTTCGACAATAGGCCTCAAATCGTTCCAAATATCCACTTGCAGATACTACAAATAGAGCGTTTCAAAACTGCTCAATCAAAAGAAAGGTTCAACTCTGTGAGATGAATGCAGACATCACAAAGAAGTTTCTCAGAATGCTTCTGCCTTGTTTTTATGTGAAGATATTTCCTTTTTCACCACAGGCCTCAAAGAACTGGTAATATCCATTTGCAGATACTACAAAAAGACTGTTCCCAAACTGCTCAATAAAAAGAAAGTTTCAACTCTATGAGATAAAAGCAAATATCACAAAGAAGTTTCTCAGAAACTTTCTATCTAGTTTTTATGTGAACATATTTCTTATCACCCCATAGACCTCAATCGGCTCACAAGTATCCTTCTGCAGATTATAAACATCTACTGTTTCCAAACCGCTCAATCACAGGAAAGGTTTAACTCTGTGAAATGAATGCATCCATCACAGAGAAGTTTCTCAGAATGCTTCCGTCTCGTTTTTATGTGAAGAAGATTCCTTTTCCACCATATTCCTCATGCGCTCCAAATAAACACTTGCAGATTCCGCTAAAAGAGTGTTTCAAAACTGCTCAATCAAAAGAAAGGTTCTAGTCGGTGAGATGAATGCACACATCACAAAGAAGTTTCTATGAATGCTTCTGTCTGATTTATATTGAAGATATTTCCTTTTTCACCGTAGGCCTCAGAGTGCTTAAAATATCCATTTGCATATACTAGAAAAGACTGTTTCCAAACTGCTCAATCAAAGTAAAGTTCAACTCAGTGAGATGAATGCACACATCACCAAGACGTTTCTGAGAAAGATTCTGTCTCGTTTTTATGTGAAGATATTTCCTGTTTCCCCAGAGGCATCAATGGGCTCACAAATATTCCTTTGCATATTCTACAAAATGACTGTTTAGAAGGTGCTCAATGAAAAAAAAAGTTCAACAGTGTGAGATGAATGCGCCCATTCAAAGGAAGTTTCTCAGAATTCTTCTATCTAGTTTTTATGTGAAGATATTTCCTTTTTCACTATAGGCCACAAAGTGCTCCAAATATCCACTTGCAGACTCTACAAAACGAGTGTATCCACACTGCTCAATCAAAAGAAAATTTCAACTGTGTGAGATGAACGCACACATCAAAATAAATTTCTCCAAAACTTCTGCCTACTTTTTAGGGGAAGATATTTCGTTTTTCAACGTAGGCCAAAAGCACTCCAAATATCAATTTGCAGATTCTACAAAAAGACTGTTTCCAAACTGCTCAATCAAGAGAAAGTTTCAACCCGGTGAGTAGAAGTCACACATGACAAAATAGTTTCTCAGGAAGTATCTGTCTAGTTTTTATGTGAAGATATTTCCTATCACCCCAGAAGCCTCAATGGGCTCACAAATATTCCTTTGCAGATTCTACAAAACGACAGTTTCAAAACTGCTGAATCAAAAGAAAGGTTCAACACTGTGAGATGAATGCACAGATCACAAATAAGTTTCTCACAATGCTGCTGTCTAGTTTTTATGGGAAGAGATTTCCTTTTCCACCATAGGCCTCAAAGCTCTCCAAATATCCATTTGCAGATACTGTGAAAAGTCTGTTTCCAAACTGCTGAATCAAAAGAAATGTTGAACTCCATGAGTTGAATGCACACGTCACAAAGAAGTTTCTCAGAATGCTTCTGACTAGTTTTTATGTGAAGATATTTTCTTTTCCACCATAGGCCTCAAAGCGCTGAAAATATTCACTTGAAGATTCTACAGAAAGAGAGTTTCAAAACTGCTCAAACAAAAGAAAGATTCAACTCTGTGAGATGAATGCACACATCACAAAGAAGTTTCTCAGAATGCTTCTGTCTAGTTTTATGTAAAGATATTTCCTTTTCTACTATAGGCCACAAAGCATTCCAAATATCAACTTGCAGATTCTGCAGAAAGAGTTTTTCAAAGCTGCTCAATCAAAAGAAAAGTTCAACTCTTTGAGATGAATGCACACATCATGAAGTTCCTCAGAATGCTTCTATTTTTATGTGAAGATATATCCTTTTCTACCATAGACCACAAAACGCTCCAAATATCCCCTTGCAGTTTCTACTAAAAGAGTGTTTCCAAACGGCTCAATCAAAAGAAAGTTTCAACTCTGTGAGATGAATGCACACAACATTAAGTAGTGTCTCAGTAATTTGCTGTCTAGTTTTTATGTGAAGATATTTCCTTTCCTACTATAGGCCTGAAAGTGCTCCAAATATCCGTTTGCAGATACTGCATAAAGACTGTTTCCAAACTGCTCAATCAAAGGAAATGTCCAACTCTGTGAGTTGAATGCACGCATCTCAAAGAGATTACTTATAATGATTCTGTCTAGTTTTGATGTGAAGATATTTGCTTTTCCACCAGTGACCTCAAACTCTCCAAATATCCACTTGCAGATTCTACAATAAGAGTGTTTCAAAACTGCTCAATCAAAAGAAAGCTTCAACACTGTGAGATGAATGCACACGTCACAAAGCACTTTCTTAGAATGCTTCTGTCTAGCTTTTATGTGAAGATATTTCCTTTTTCACCATAGGCTGCAAAGCGCTCCAAATATCCCTTTCAGATTCTACAGAAAGAGTGTTTGAAAACTGTTCAATCAAAAGAGAAACTCAACTCTGGTGATGAATGCACACATCACAAAGCAGTTTCTCATAATGTTTCTGTCTAGTTTTTATGTGAAGATATTTCATTCTCCACTATAGGCCATAATGCACTCCTAATATCCACTTGCAGATTCTACAAAAAGACTGTTTGCAAACTGCTCAAACAAAAGAAAAGTTCAACTCTGTGAGTTGAATGAGCACATCACAAAGAAGTTTCTCAGAATGCTTCTGTCTAGTTTTTATGTGAATATATTTCCTTTTCCACTATAGGCCGTAATGCGCTCCAAATATCCACTTGCAGATTCTACAAAAAGACTGTTTCCCAACTGCTCAATCAAAAGAAAAGCTCAACTCTGTGAGTTGAATGAGCACATCACAAAGAAGTTTCTCAGAATGCTTCTATCTAGTTTTTATGTGAATATATTTCCTTTTCCACCACAGGCCACAAACTCTCCAAATATCCACTTGAAGATTCTACAAAAAGAGTGCTTCAAAAATGCTCAATCAAAAGAAAGGTTCAACTCTTTGAGATGGATGCACATATCAAAAAGACGCTTCTCAGAATGTTTCTGTCTAGTTTTTTTGTGAAGATATTTCCTTTTCCACCGTAGTCCTCAAGTCTCTCCAAATATCTACTTTCAGAATCTCCAAAAAGAGTGTTTTAAAACTGCTGTACCAAAGAAAGTTTCATGTCTGAGATATGACTGCATACAACCCAGAGAAAGTTCTCAAAGTGCTTCTGTTTATTTTTTTTATGAAGATATTTCCTTTTCCACTATGGGCCACAGAGCGCTCCAAGTATCCACTGGCAGATTCTACAAAAAGAGTGTTTCAAAACTGCTCAATCAATAGAAAGTTTGAAGTCTGTGAGATGAGTGCACACATCACAAAGGAGTTTCTAAGAATGCTTCCATCTGAATTTTATGTGAGGATACTTCCTTTTTCACCATAGGCCTCAGTACACTCCAAATATCCATTTACAGATAATACAAATGACTGTATCCAAACTGCTCAATCAAAAGAAAGTTCAACTGTGTATGATGAATGCACACATCACAAGGGTGTTTCTCAGAAAGATTTTGTCTAGTTTTTAGGTGAAGATATGTCTTATTTCCCCAGAGGCCTCAATGGGCTCTCAAATATTCCCTTTCATATTCTACTAAATGACTGTATCGAAGCTGCTCAATCAAAAGACGGGTTTAACAGTGTGAGACGAAAATACACCTTCCTAGGAAGTTTCTCAGAATTCTTCTTTCTAGTTTTTTATGTGAAGATATTTCCTTTTCCACTATAGGCCTCAAAGCGTTCCAAATATCCAATTGCAGATACTACAAATAGAGCGTTTCAAAACTGCTCAATCAAAAGAAAGGTTCAACTCTGTGAGATGAATGCAGACATCAAAAAGAAGTTTCTCAGAATGCTTCTGCCTTGTTTTTATGTGAAGATATTTCCTTTTCCACCATAGGCCTCAAAGCACTGGTAATATCCATTTGTAGATACTACAAAAAGACTGTTCCCAAACTTCTCAATAAAAAGAAAGTTTCAACTCTAGGAGATAAAAGCAAATATCACAAAGAAGTTTCTCAGAAACTTTCTATCTAGTTTTTATGTGAACATATTTCTTATCACCCCATAGACCTCAATCGGCTCACAAGTATCCTTCTGCAGATTGTAAAAAACTACTGTTTCCAAACCGCTCAATCACAGGAAAGGTTTAACTCTGTGAAATGAATGCATCCATCACAGAGAAGTTTCTAAGAATGCTTCCGTCTCGTTTTTATGTGAAGAAGATTCCTTTTCCACCATATTCCTCATGCGCTCCAAATAAACACTTGCAGATTCCGCTAAAAGAGTGTTTCAAAACTGCTCAATCAAAAGAAAGGTTCTAGTCGGTGAGATGAATGTACACATCCCAAAGAAGTTTCTATGAATGCTTCTGTCTGGTTTATATTGAAGATATTTCCTTTTTCACCGTAGGCCTCAGAGTGCTTAAAATATCCATTTGCAGATACTAGAAAAGACTGTTTCCAAACTGCTCAATCAAAATAAAGTTCAACTCAGTGAGATGAATGCACACATCACCAAGACGTTTCTGAGAAAGATTCTGTCTAGTTTTTATTTGAAGATATTTCCTATTTCCCCAGAGGCATCAATGGGCTCAAAAATATTCCTTTGCATATTCTACAAAATGACTGTTTAGAAGCTGCTCAATCAAAAAAAGGTTCAACACTGTGAGATAAATGCGCACATTCAAAGGAAGTTTCTCAGAATTCTTCTGTCTAGTTTTTATGTGAAGATATTTCCTTTTTCACTATAGGCCACAAAGTGCTCCAAATATCCACTTGCAGACTCTACAAAACGAGTGTATCCACACTGCTCAATCAAAAGAAAATTTCAACTGTGTGAGATGAATGCACACATCAAAATAAATTTCTCCAAAACTTCTGTCTAGTTTTTATGTGAAGATATTTCCTATCACCCCAGGAAGCCTCAATGGGCTCACAAATATTCCTTTGCAGATTCTACAAAACGACAGTTTCAAAACTGCTGAATCAAAAGAAAGGTTCAACTCTGTGAGATGAATGCACAGATCACAAATAAGTTTCTCAGAATGCTGCTGTCTAGTTTTTATGGGAAGAGATTTCCTTTTACACCATAGGCCTCAAAGCTCTCCAAATAGCCATTTGCAGATACTGTAAAAAGACTGTTTCCAAACTGCTGAATCAAAAGAAAGGTTGAACTCCATGAGTTGAATGCACACGTCACAAAGAAGTTTCTCAGAATGCTTCTGACTAGTTTTTATGTGAAGATAATTTCTTTTCCACCATAGGCCTCAAAGCGCTGAAAATATCCACTTGAAGATTCTACAGAAAGAGTTTCAAAACTGCTCAAACAAAAGAAAGATTCAACTCTGTGAGATGAATGCACACATCACAAAGAAGTTTCTCAGAATGCTTCTGTCTAGTTTTATGTAAAGATATTTCCTTTTCTACTATAGGCCACAAAGCACTCCAAATATCAACTTGCAGATTCTGCAGAAAGAGTTTTTCAAAGCTGCTCAGTCAAAAGACAAGTTAAACTCTTTGAGATGAATGCACACATCATGAAGTTCCTCAGAATGCTTCTATTTTTATGTGAAGATATAGCCTTTTCTACCATAGACCACAAAACGCTCCAAATATCCCCTTGCAGTTTCTACTAAAAGAGTGTTTCCAAACTGCTCAATCAAAAGAAGTTTCAACTCTGTGAGATGAATGCACATATCATTAAGAAGTTTCTCAGTAATTTCCTGTCTAGTTTTTATGTGAAGATATTTCCTTTCCTACTATAGGCCTGAAAGTGCTCCAAATATCCGTTTGCAGATACTGCAAAAAGACTGTTTCCACACTGCTCAATCAAAGGAAATGTCCAACTCTGTGAGTTGAATGCACGCATCTCAAAGAGATTACTTATAATGATTCTGTCTAGTTTTGATGTGAAGATATTTGCTTTTCCACCAGTGGCCTCAAACTCTGCAAATATCCACTTGCAGATTCTACAATAAGAGTGTTTCAAAACTGCTCAATCAAAAGAAAGGTTCAACACTGTGAGATGAATGCACACGTCATAATGCACTTTCTTAGAATGCTTCTGTCTAGCTTTTATTTGAAGATATTTCCTTTTTCACCATAGGCTGCAAAGCGCTCCAAATATCCCTTTCAGATTCTACAGAGAGAGTGTTTCAAAACTGTTCAATCAAAAGAGAAATTCAACTCTGGTGATGAATGCACGCATCACAGAGCAGTTTCTCATAATGTTTCTGTCTATTTTTTATGTGAAGTTATTTCATTTTCCACTATAGGCCGTAATGCACTCCTAATATCCACTTGCAGATTCTACAAAAAGACTGTTTGCAAACTGCTCAAACAAAAGAAAAGTTCAACTCTGTGAGTTGAATGAGCACATCATAAAAAGTTTCTCAGAATGCTTCTGTCTAGTTTTTATGTGAATATATTTCCTTTTCCACTATAGGCCGTCATGCGCTCCAAATATCCACTTGCAGATTCTACAAAAAGACTGATTCCAAACTGCTCAATCAAAAGAAAAGCTCAACTCTGTGAATTGAATGAGCACATCACAAAGAAGTTTCTCAGAATGCTTCTATCTAGTTTTTATGTGAATATATTTCCTTTTCCACCACAGGCCACAAACCCTCCAAATATCCACTTGAAGATTCTACAAAAAGAGTGCTTCAAAAATACTCAATCAAAAGAAAGGTTCAACTCTTCGAGATGGACGCACACATCACAAAGAAGCTTCTCAGAATGTTTCTGTCTAGTATTTTTGTGAAGATATTTCCTTTTCCACCGTAGTCCTCAAGTCTCTCCAATTATCTACTTTCAGAATCTCCAAAAAGAGTGTTTTAAAACTGCTGTACCAAAGAAAGTTTCATGTCTGAGATATGACTGCATACAACACAGAGAAGTTTCTCAAAGTGCTTCTGTTTATTTTTTTTATGAAGATATTTCCTTTTCCACTATGGGCCACAGAGCGCTCCAAATATCCACTTGCAGATTCTACAAAAAGAGTGTTTCAAAACTGCTCAATCAATAGAAAGTTTGAAGTCTGTGAGATGAGTGCACACATCACAAGGGAGTTTCTGAGAATGCTTCCATGTGATTTTTATGTGAAGAAATTTCGTTTTTCACCACAGGCCTCAATACACTCCAAATATCCATTTACAGATAATACAAATGACTGTTTCCAAACTGCCCAATCAAAAGGAAGTTCAACTCTGTGTGACGAATGCACATATCACAAGGAAGTTTCTCAGAAAGTTTGTGTCTAGTTTTTAGGTGAAGATACTTCCTATTTCCCTAGAGGCCGCAATGGGCTCTCAAATATTCTCTTTCAGATTTTACTAAACGACTATATCGGAGCTGCTCAATCAAAAGAAAGGTTCAACAGTGTGAGATGAAAGCACACATTCCTAGGAAGTTTCTCAGAATTCTTCTTTCTAGGTTTTTATGTGAAGATATTTCCTTTTCCACTATAGGCCTCAAAGCGTTCCAAATATCCACTTGCAGATACTACAAATAGAGCGTTTCAAAACTGCACAATCAAAAGAAAGGTTCAACTCTGTGAGATGAATGCAGACATCAAAAAGAAGTTTCTCAGAATGCTTCTGCCTTGTTTTTATGTGAAGATATTTCCTTTTTCACCATAGGCCTCAAAGCACTGGTAATATCCATTTGCAGGTACTACAAAAAGACTGTTCCCAAACAGCTCAATAAAAAGAAAGTTTCAACTCTATGAGATGAAAGCAAATATCACAAAGAAGTTTCTCGGAAACTTTCTATCTATTTTTTATGTGAACATATTTCTTATCACCCCATAGACCTCAATCGGCTCACAAGTATCCTTCTGCAGATTGTAAAAAACTACTGTTTCCAAACCGCTCAATCACAGGAAAGGTTTAACTCTGTGAAATGAATGCATCCATCACAGAGAAGTTTCTCAGAATGCTTCCATCTCGTTTCTATGTGAAGAAGATTCCTTTTCCACCATATTCCTCATGCGCTCCAAATAAACACTTGCAGATTCCGCTAAAAGAGTGTTTCAAAACTGCTCAATCAAAAGAAAGGTTCTAGTCGGTGAGATGAATGCACACATCACAAAGAAGTTTCTATGAATCCTTCTGTCTGATTTATATTGAAGATATTTCCTTTTTCACCGTAGGCCTCAGAGTGCTTAAAATATCCATTTGCAGATACTAGAAAAGACTGTTTCCAAACTGCTCAATCAAAATAAAGTTCAACTCAGTGAGATGAATGCTCACATCACCAAGACGTTTCTGAGAAAGATTCTGTCTCGTTTTTATGTGAAGATATTTCCTGTTTCCGCAGAGGCATCAATGGGCTCACAAATATTCCTTTGCATATTCTACAAAATGACTGTTTAGAAGGTGCTCAATCAAAAAAAAAAGTTCAACAGTGTGAGATGAATGCGCCCATTCAAAGGAAGTTTCTCAGAATTCTTCTATCTAGTTTTTATGTGAAGATATTTCCTTTTTCACTATAGGCCACAAAGTGCTCCAAATATCCACTTGCAGACTCTGCAAAACGAGTGTATCCACACTGCTCAATCAAAAGAAAATTTCAACTGTGTGAGATGAATGCACACATCAAAATAAATTTCTCCAAAACTTCTGCCTACTTTTTATGGGAAGATATTTCGTTTTTCAATGTAGGCCAAAAGCACTCCAAATATCAATTTGCAGATTCTACAAAAAGACTGTTTCCAAACTGCTCAATCAACAGAAAGTTTCAACCCGGTGAGTAGAAGACACACATGACAAAATAGTTTCTCAGAAAGTATCTGTCTAGTTTTTATGTGAAGATATTTCCTATCACCCCAGAAGCCTCAATGGGCTCACAAATATTCCTTTGCAGATTCTACAAAACGACAGTTTCAAAACTGCTGAATCAAGAGAAAGGTTCAACTCTGTGAGATGAATGCGCAGATCACAAATAAGTTTCTCAGAATGCTGCTGTCTAGTTTTTATGGGAAGATATTTCCTTTTCCACCATAGGCCTCAAAGCTCTCCAAATATCCATCTGCAGATACTGTAAAAAGACTGTTTCCAAACTGCTGAATCAAAAGAAAGGTTGAACTCCATGAGTTGAATGCACACGTCACAAAGAAGTTTCTCAGAATGCTTCTGACTAGTTTTTATGTGAAGATATTTTCTTTTCCACCATAGTCCTCAAAGCACTAAAAATATCCACTTGAAGATTCTACAGAAAGAGAGTTTCAAAACTGCTCAAACAAAAGAAAGATTCAACTCTGTGAGATGAATGCACACATCACAAAGAAGTTTCTCAGAATGCTTCTGTCTAGTTTTAAGTAAAGATATTTCCTTTTCTACTATAGGCCACAAAGCACTCCAAATATCAACTTGCAGATTCTGCAGAAAGAGTTTTTCAAAGCTACTCAATCAAAAGAAAAGTTCAACTCTTTGAGATGAATGCACACATCATGAAGTTCCTCAAAATGCTTCTATTTTTATGTGAAGATATAGCCTTTTCTACCATAGACCACAAAATGCTCCAAATATCCCCTTGCAGTTTCTACTAAAAGAGTGTTTCCAAACTGCTCAATCAAAAGAAAGTTTCAACTCTGTGAGATGAATGCACACATCATTAAGAAGTTTCTCAGTAATTTTCTGTCTAGTTTTTATGTGAAGATATTTAATTTCCTACTATAGGCCTGAAAGTGCTCCAAATATCCGTTTGCAGATACTGCAAAAAGACTGTTTCCAAACTGCTCAATCAAAGGAAATGTCCAACTCTGTGAGTTGAATGCACGCATCTCAAAGAGATTACTTATAATGATTCTGTCTAGTTTTGATGTGAAGATATTTGCTTTTCCACCAGTGGCCTCAAACTCTCCAAATATCCACTTGCAGATTCTACAATAAGAGTGTTTCAAAACTGCTCAATCAAAAGAAAGGTTCAACACTGTGAGGTGAATGCACACGTCACAAAGCACTTTCTTAGAATGCTTCTGTCTAGCTTTTATGTGAAGATATTTCCTTTTTCACCATAGGCTGCAAAGCGCTCCAAATATCCCTTTCAGATTCTACAGAAAGAGTGTTTCAAAACTGTTCAATCAAAAGAGAAACTCAACACTGGTGATGAATGCACGCATCACAAAGCAGTTTCTCATAATGTTTTTGTCTGGTTTTTATGTGAAGATATTTCATTTTCCACTATAGGCCGTAATGCACTCCTAATATCCACTTGCAGATTCTACAGAAAGACTGTTTGCAAACTGCTCAAACAAAAGAAAAGTTCAACTCTGTGAGTTGAATGAGCACATCACAAAGAAGTTTCTCAGAATGCTTCTGTCTAGTTTTTATGTGAATATATTTCCTTTTCCACTATAGGCCGTAATGCGCTCCAAATATCCACTTGCAGTTTCTACAAAAAGACTGTTTCCAAACTGCTCAATCAAAAGAAAAGCTCAACTCTGTGAGTTGAATGAGCACATCAGAAAGAAGTTTCTCAGAATGCTTCTATCTAGTTTTTATGTGAATATATTTCCTTTTCCACCTCAGGCCACAAACACTCCAAATATCCACTTGAAGATTCTACAAAAAGAGTGCTTCAAAAATGGTCAATCAAAAGAAAGGTTCAACTCTTTGAGATGGATGCACACATCACAAAGAAGCTTCTCAGAATGTTTCTGTCTAGTTTTTGTGTGAAGATATTTCCTTTTCCACCATAGTCCTCATGTCTCTCAAATATCTACTTTCAGAATCTCCAAAAAGAGTGTTTTAAAACTGCTGTATCAAAGAAAGTTTCATGTCTGAGATATGACTGCATACAGCACAGAGAAGTTTCTCAAAGTGCTTCTGTTTATTTTTTTTATGAAGATATTTCCTTTTCCACTATGGGCCACAGAGCGCTCCAAATATCGACTTGCAGATTCTACAAAAAGAGTGTTTCAAAACTGCTCAATCAATAGAAAGTTTGAAGTCTGTGAGATGAATGCACACATCACAAAGGAGTTTCTAAGAATGCTTCCATCTGAATTTTATGTGAGGATATTTCCTTTTTCACCATAGGCCTCAATACACTCCAAATATCCATTTACAGATAATACAAATGACTGTATCCAAACTGCTCAATCAAAAGAATGTTCAACTGTGTATGATGAATGCACACATCAGAAGGGTGTTTCTCAGAAAGTTTTTGTCTAGCTTTTAGGTGAAGATATTTCTTATTTCCCCAGAGGCCTCAATGGGCTCTCAAATATTCCCTTTCATATTCTCCTAAATGACTGTATCGAAGCTGCTCAATCAAAAGACGGGTTTAACAGTGTGAGACGAAAATACACCTTCCTCGGAAGTTTCTCAGAATTCTTCTTTCTAGGTTTTTATGTGAAGATATTTCCTTTTCCACTATAGGCCTCAAAGCGTTCCAAATATCCACTTGCAGATCCTACAAATAGAGCCTTTCAAAACTGCTCAATCAAAAGAAAGGTTCAACTCTGTGAGATGAATGCAGACATCAAAAAGAAGTTTCTCAGAATGCTTCCGCCTTGTTTTTATGTGAAGATATTTCCTTTTTCACCATACGCCTCAAAGCACTGGTAATATCCATTTGCAGATACTACAAAAAGACTGTTCCCAAACTGCTCAATAAAAAGAAATTTTCAACTCTATGAGATAAAAGCTAATATCACAAAGCAGTTTCTCAGAAACTTTCTATCTAGTTTTTATGTGAACATATTTCTTATCACCCCATAGACCTCAATCGGCTCACAAGTATCCTTCTGCAGATTGTAAAAAACTACTGTTTCCAAACCGCTCAATCACAGGAAAGGTTTAACTCTGTGAAATGAATGCATCCATCACGGAGAAGTTTCTTAGAATGTTTCCGTCTCGTTTTCAAGTGAAGAAGATTCCTTTTCCACCATATTCCTCATGCGCTCCAAATAAACACTTGCAGATTCCGCTAAAAGAGTGTTTCAAAACTGCTCAATGAAAAGAAAGGTTCTAGTCGGTGAGATGAATGCACACATCACAAAGAAGTTTCTATGAATGCTTCTGTCTGATTTATATTGAAGATATTTCCTTTTTCACCGTAGGCCTCAGAGTGCTTAAAATATACATTTGCAGATACTAGAAAAGACTGTTTCCAAACTGCTCAATCAAAATAAAGTTCAACTCAGTGAGATGAATGCACACATCACCAAGACGTTTCTGAGAAAGATTCTGTCTCGTTTTTATGTGAAGATATTTCCTGTTTCCCCAGAGGCATCAATGGGCTCACAAATATTCCTTTGCAGATTCTACAAAATGACTCTTTAGAAGGTGCTCAATCAAAAAAAAAGTTCAACAGTGTGAGATGAATGCACCCATTCAAAGGAAGTTTCTCAGAATTCTTCTATCTAGTTTTTATGTGAAGATATTTCCTTTTTCACTATAGGCCAGAAAGTGCTCCAAATATCCACTTGCAGACTCTACAAAACGAGTGTATCCACACTGCTCAATCAAAAGAAAATTTCAACTGTGTGAGATGAATGCACACATCAAAATAAATTTCTCCAAAACTTCTGCCTAGTTTTTATGGAAAGATACTTCATTTTTCAACATAGGCCAAAAGTGCTCCAAATATTCATTTGCAGATTCTACAAAAAGACTGTTCCCAAACTGCTCAATCAAGAGAAAGTTTCAACCCGGTGAGTTGAAGTCACACATGACAAAATAGTTTCTCAGAAAGTATCTGTCTAGTTGTTATGTGAAGATATTTCCTATCTCCCCAGAAGCCTCAATGGGCTCACAAATATCCCTTTGCAGATTCTACAAAACGACAGTTTCAAAACTGCTGAATCAAAAGAAAGGTTCAACTCTGTGAGATGAATGCACAGATCACAAATAAGTTTCTCAGAATGCTGCTGTCTAGTTTTTATGGGAAGAGATTTCCTTTTCCACCATAGGCCTCAAAGCTCTCCAAATAGCCATTTGCAGATACTGTAAAAAGACTGTTTCCAAACTGCTGAATGAAAAGAAAGGTTGAACTCCATGAGTTGAATGCACACGTCACAAAGAAGTTTCTCAGAATGCTTCTGACTAGTTTTTATGTGAAGATATTTTCTTTTCCACCGTAGGCCTCAAAGCGCTGAAAATATCCACTTGAAGATTCTACAAAAAGAGAGTTTCAAAACTGCTCAAACAAAAGAAAGATTCAACTCTGTGAGATGAATGCACACATCACAAAGAAGTTTCTCAGAATGCTTCTGTCTAGTTTTATGTAAAGATATTTCCTTTTCTACTATAGGCCACAAAGCTTTCCAAATATCAACTTGCAGATTCTGCAGAAAGAGTTTTTCAAAGCTGCTCAATCAAAAGAAAAGTTCAACTCTTTGAGATGAATGCACACATCAGGAAGTTCCTCAGAATGCTTCTATTTTTATGTGAAGATAACCTTTTCTACCATAGACCATAAAACCCTCCAAATATCCCCTTGCACTTTCTACTAAAAGAGTGTTTCCAAACTGCTCAATCACAGGAAAGTTTCAACTCTGTGAGATGAATGCACACATCATTACGAAGTTTCTCAGTAATTTTCTGTCTAGTTTTTATGTGAAGATATTTCCTTTCCTACTATAGGCCTGAAAGTGCTCCAAATATCCGCTTGCAGATACCGCAAAAAGACTGTTTCCAAACTGCTCAATCAAAGGAAACGTCCAACTCTGTGAGTTGAATGCACGCATCTCAAAGAGATTACTTATAATGATTCTGTCTAGTTTTGATGTGAAGATATTTGCTTTTCCACCAGTGGCCTCAAACTCTCCAAATATCCACTTGCAGATTCTACAATAAGAGTGTTTCAAAACTGCTCAATCAAAAGAAAGGTTCAACACTGTCAGATGAATGCACGCGTCACAAAGCACTTTCTTAGAATGCTTCTGTCTAGCTTTTATGGGAAGATGTTTCCTTTTACACCATAGGCTGCAAAGCGCTCCAAATATCCCTTTCAGATTCTACAGAAAGAGTGTTTCAAAACTGTTCAATCAAAAGAGAAACTCAACTCTGGTGATGAATGCACGCATCACAAAGCAGTTTCTCATAATGTTTCTGTCTAGTTTTTATGTGAAGATATTTCATTTTCCACTATAGGCCGTAATGCACTCCTAATATCCACTTGCAGATTCTACAGAAAGACTGTTTCCAAACTGCTCAATCAAAAGAAAAGCTCAACTCTGTGAGTTGAATGAGCACATCACAAAGAAGTTTCTCAGAATGCTTCTGTCTAGTTTTTATGTGAATATATTTCCTTTTCCACTATAGGCCGTAATGCGCTCCAAATATCCACTTGCAGATTCTACAGAAAGACTGTTTCCAAACTGCTCAATCAAAAGAAAAGCTCAACTCTGTGAGTTGAATGAGCACATCACAAAGAAGTTTCTCAGAATGCTTCTATCTAGTTTTTATGTGAATATATTTGCTTTTCCACCACAGGCCACAAACCCTCCAAATATCCACTTGAAGATTCTACAAAAAGAGTGCCTCAAAAATGCGCAATCAAAACAAAGGTTCAACTCTTCGAGATGGACGCACACAACACAAAGAAGCTTCTCAGAATGTTTCTGTCTAGTTTTCTTGTGAAGATATTTCCTTTTCCACCGTAGTCCTCAAGTCTCTCCAAATATCTACTTTCAGAATCTCCAAAAAGAGTGTTTTAAAACTCCTGTACCAAAGAAAGTTTCATGTCTGAGATATGACTGCATACAACACAGAGAAGTTTCTCAAAGTGCTTCTGTTTATTTTTCTTATGAAGATATTTCCTTTTCCACTATGGGCCACAGAGTGCTCCAAATATCCACTGGCAGATTCTACAAAAAGGGTGTTTCAAAACTGCTCAATCAATAGAAAGTTTGAAGTCTGTGAGATGAATGTACACATCACAAAGGAGTTTCTAAGAATGCTTCCATCTGAATTTTATGTGAGGATATTTCCTTTTTCACCATAGGCCTCAGTACACTCCAAATATCCATTTACAGATAATACAAATGACTGTATCCAAACTGCTCAATCAAAAGAAAGTTCAACTGTGTATGATGAAGGCACACATCACAAGGCTGTTTCTCAGAAAGATTTTGTCTAGTTTTTAGGTGAAGATATTTCTTATTTCCCCAGAGGCCTCAATGGGCTCTCAAATATTCCCTTTCATATTCTACTAAATGACTGTATCGAAGCTGCTCAATCAAAAGACGGGTTTAACAGTGTGAGACGAAAACACACCTTCCTAGGAAGTTTCTCAGAATTCTTCTTTCTAGTTTTTTATGTGAAGATATTTCCTTTTCCACTATAGGCCTCAAAGCGTTCCAAATATCCACTTGCAGATACTACAAATAGAGCGTTTCAAAACTGCTCAATCAAAAGAAAGGTTCAACTCTGTGAGATGAATGCATACATCAAAAAGAAGTTTCTCAGAATGCTTCCGCCTTGTTTTTATGTGAAGATATTTCCTTTTCCACCATAGGCCTCAAAGCACTGGTAATATCCATTTGCAGATACTACAAAAAGACTGTCCCCAAACTGCTCAATAAAAAGAAAGTTTCAACTCTAGGAGATAAAAGCAAATATCACAAAGAAGTTTCTCAGAAACTTTCTATCTAGTTTTTATGTGAACATATTTCTTATCACCCCATAGACCTCAATGGCTCACAAGTATCCTTCTGCAGATTATAAAAAACGACTGTTTCCAAACCACTCAATCACAGGAAAGGTTCCACTCTGTGAAATGAATGCACCCATCACAGAGAAGTTTCTCAGAATGCTTCTGTCTCGTTTTTATGTGAAGAAGATTCCTTTTCCACCATATTCCTCATGCACTCTAAATAAACACTTGCAGATTCTGCTATAAAAGTGTTTCAAAACTGCTCAATCAAAAGAAAGGTTCTAGTCAGTGAGATGAATGCACACATCACAAAGAAGTTTCTATGAATGCTTCTGTCTGATTTATATTGAAGATATTTCTTTTTTCACCGTAGGCCTCAGAGTGCTTAAAATATCCATTTGCAGATACTAGAAAAGACTGTTTCCAAACTGCTCAATCAAAGTAAAGTTCAACTCAGTGAGATGAATGCACACATCACCAAGACGTTTCTGAGAAAGATTCTGTCTCGTTTTTATGTGAAGATATTTCCTGTTTCTCCAGAGGCATCAATGGGCTCACAAACATTCCTTTGCCTATTCTACAAAATGACTGTTTAGAAGGTGCTCAATCAAAAAAAAAGTTCAACAGTGTGAGATGAATGCGCCCATTCAAAGGAAGTTTCTCAGAATTCTTCTATCTAGTTTTTATGTGAAGATATTTCCTTTTTCACTATAGGCCACAAAGTGCTCCAAATATCCACTTGCAGACTCTACAAAACGAGTGTATCCACACTGCACAATCAAAAGAATATTTCAACTGTGTGAGATGAATGCACACATCAAAATAAATTTCTCCAAAACTTCTGCCTACTTTTTATGGGAAGATATTTCGTTTTTCAACGTAGGCCAAAAGCACTCCAAATATCAATTTGCAGATTCTACAAAAAGACTGTTTCCAAACTGCTCAATCAAGAGAAAGTTTCAACCCAGTGAGTAGAAGTCACACATGACAAAATAGTTTCTCAGAAAGTATCTGTCTAGTTTTTATGTGAAGATATTTCCTATCACCCCAGAAGCCTCAATGGTCTCACAAATATTCCTTTGCAGATTCTACAAAACGACAGTTTCAAAACTGCTGAATCAAAAGAAAGGTTCAACTCTGTGAGATTAATGCACAGATCACAAATAAGTTTCTCAGAATGCTGCTGTCTAGTTTTAATGGGAAGAGATTTCCTTTTCCACCATAGGCCTCAAAGCTCTCCAAATAGCCATTTGCAGATACTGTAAAAAGACTGTTTCCAAACTGCTGAATCAAAAGAAAGGTTGAACTCCATGAGTTGAATGCACACGTCATAAAGAAGTTTCTCAGAATGGTTCTGACTAGTTTTTATGTGAAGATATTTTCTTTTCCACCGTAGGCCTCAAAGCGCTGAAAATATCCACTTGAAGATTCTACAAAAAGAGAGTTTCAAAACTGCTCAAACAAAAGAAAGATTCAACTCTGTGAGATGAATGCACACATCACAAAGAAGTTTCCTCAGAATGCTTCTGTCTAGTTTTATGTAAAGATATTTCCTTTTCTACTATAGGCCACAAAGCACTCCAAATATCAACTTGCAGATACTGCAGAAAGAGTTTTTCAAAGCTGCTCAATCAAAAGAAAAGTTCAACTCTTTGAGACGAATGCACACATCAGGAAGTTCCTCAGAATGCTTCTATTTTTATGTGAACATATCCTTTTCTACCATAGACCACAAAACGCTCCAAATATCCCCTTGCAGTTTCTACTAAAAGAGTGTTTCCAAACGGCTCAATCAAAAGAAAGTTTCAACGCTGTGAGATGAATGCACACATCATTAAGAAGTGTCTCAGTAATTTGCTGTCTAGTTTTTATGTGAAGATATTTCCCTTCCTACTATAGGCCTGAAAGTGCTCCAAATATCCGTTTGCAGATACTGCATAAAGACTGTTTCCAAACTGCTCAATCAAAGGAAATGTCCAACTCTGTGAGTTGAATGCACGCATCTCAAAGAGATTACTTATAATGATTCTGTCTAGTTTTGATGTGAAGATATTTGCTTTTCCACCAGTGGCCTCAAACTCTCCAAATATCCACTTGCAGATTCTACAATAAGAGTGTTTCAAAACTGCTCAATCAAAAGAAAGGTTCAACACTCTGAGATGAATGCACACGTCACAAAGCACTTTCTTAGAATGCTTCTGTCTAGCTTTTATGTGAAGATATTTCCTTTTTCACCATAGGCTGCAAAGCGCTCCAAATATCCCTTTCAGATTCAACAGAAAGAGTGTTTCAAAACTGTTCAATCAAAAGAGAAACACAACTCTGGTTATGAATGCACGCATCACATAGTAGTTTCTCATCATGTTTCTGTCTATTTTTTATGTGAAGTTATTTCATTTTCCACTATAGGCCGTAATGCACTCCTAATATCCACTTGCAGATTCTACAAAAGACTGTTTGCAAACTGCTCAAACAAAAGAAAAGTTCAACTCTGTGAGTTGAATGAGCACATCACAAAGAAGTTTCTCAGAATGCTTCTGTCTAGTTTCTATGTGAATATATTTCCTTTTCCACTATAGGCCGTAATGCGCTCCAAATATCCACTTGCAGTTTCTACAAAAAGACTGTTTCCAAACTGCTCAATCAAAAGAAAAGCTCAACTCTGTGAGTTGAATGAGCACATCAGAAAGAAGTTTCTCAGAATGCTTCTGTCTAGTTTTTAAGTGAATATATTTCCTTTTCCACCACAGGCCACAAACACTCCAAATATCCACTTGAAGATTCTACAAAAAGAGTGCTTCAAAAATGCTCAATCAAAAGAAAGTTTCAACTCTTTGAGATGGATGCACACATCACAAAGAAGCTTCTCAGAATGTTTCTGTCTAGTTTTTTTGTGAAGATATTTCCTTTTCCACCGTAGTCCTCAAGTCTCTCCAAATATCTACTTTCAGAATCTCCAAAAAGAGTGTTTGAAAACTGCTGTACCAAAGAAAGTTTCATGTCTGAGATATGACTGCATACAACACAGAGAAGTTTCTCAAAGTGCTTCTGTTTATTTTTCTTATGAAGATATTTCCTTTTCCACTATGGGCCACAGAGCGCTCCAAATATCCACTGGCAGATTCTACAAAAAGAGTGTTTCAAAACTGCTCAATCAATAGAAAGTTTGAAGTCTGTGAGATGAATGTGCACATCACAAAGGAGTTTCTAAGAATGCTTCCATCTGAATTTTATGTGAGGATATTTCCTTTTTCACCATAGGCCTCAATACGCTCCAAATATCCATTTATAGATAATACAAATGACTGTATCCAAACCGCTCAATCAAAAGAAAGTTCAACTTGTGTATGATGAATACACACATCACAAGGAAGTTTCTCAGAAAGTTTTTGTCTAATTTTTAGGTGAAGTTATTTCTTACTTCCCCAGAGGCCTCAATGGGCTCTCAAATATTCCCTTTCATATTCTACTAAACGACTGTATCGAATCTGCTCAATCAAAAGAAAGGTTTAACAGTGTGAGACGAAAATACACCTTCCTGGGAAGTTTCTCAGAATTCTTCTTTCTAGGTTTTTATGTGAAGATATTTCCTTTTCCACTATAGGCCTCAAAGCGTTCCAAATATCCACTTGCAGATCCTACAAATAGAGCCTTTCAAAACTGCTCAATCGAAAGAAAGGTTCAACTCTGTGAGATGAATGCAGACATCAAAAAGAAGTTTCTCAGAATGCTTCCGCCTTGTTTTTATGTGAAGATATTTCCTTTTTCACCATAGGCCTCAAAGCACTGGTAATATCCATTTGTAGATACTACAAAAAGACTGTTCCCAAACTGCTCAATAAAAAGAAAGTTTCAACTCTATGAGATAAAAGCTAATATCACAAAGAAGTTTCTCAGAAACTTTCTATCTAGTTTTTATGTGAACATATTTCTTATCACCCCATAGACCTCAATCGGCTCACAAGTATCCTTCTGCAGATTGTAAAAAACTACTGTTTCCAAACCGCTCAATCACAGGAAAGGTTTAACTCTGTGAAATGAATGCATCCATCCCAGAGAAGTTTCTCAGAATGCTTCCGTCTCGTTTCCATGTGAAGAAGATTCCTTTTCCACCATATTCCTCATGCGCTCCAAATAAACACTTGCAGATTCCGCTAAAAGAGTGTTTCAAAACTGCTCAATCAAAAGAAAGGTTCTAGTCGGTGAGATGAATGCACACATCACAAAGAAGTTTCTATGAATGCTTCTGTCTGATTTATATTGAAGATATTTCCTTTTTAACCGTAGGCCTCAGAGTGCTTAAAATATCCATTTGCAGATACTAGAAAAGACTGTTTCCAAACTGCTCAATCAAAATAAAGTTCAACTCAGTGAGATGAATGCACACATCACCAAGACGTTTCTGAGAAAGATTCTGTCTCGTTTTTATGTGAAGATATTTCCTGTTTCCCCAGAGGCATCAATGGGCTCACAAATATTCCTTTGCACATTCTACAAAATGACTGTTTAGAAGGTGCTCAATCAAAAAAAAATTTCAACAGTGTGAGATGAATGCGCCCATTCAAAGGAAGTTTCTCAGAATTCTTCTGTCCAGTTTTTATGTGAAGATATTTCCTTTTTCACTATAGGCCACAAAGCACTCAAAATATCCACTTGCAGACTCTACAAAAAGAGTGTTTCCACACTGCTCAATCAAAAGAAAAGTTCAACTGTGTGAGATGAATGCACACATCACAAAGAAATTTCTCCAAAAGCTTCTGCCTACTTTTTATGGGAAGATATTTTGTTTTTCAACATAGGCCAAAAGCACTCCAAATATCAATTTGCAGATTCTACAAAAAGACCGTTTCCAAACTGCTCAATCAAGAGAAAGTTTCAACCCGGTGAGTAGAAGTCACACATGACAAAATAGTTTCTCAGAAAGTATCTGTCTAGTTTTTACGTGAAGATATTTCCTATCACCCCAGAAGCCTCAATGGGCTCACAATATTCCTTTGCAGATTCTACAAAACGACAGTTTCAAAACTGCTGAATCAAAAGAAAGGTTCAACTCTGGGAGATGAATGCACAGATCACAAATAAGTTTCTCAGAATGCTGCTGTCTAGTTTTTATGGGAAGATATTTCCTTTTCCACCATAGGCCTCAAAGCTCTCCAAATATCCATTTGCAGACACTGTAAAAAGACTGTTTCCAAACTGCTGAATCAAAAGAAAGGTTGAACTCCATGAGTTGAATGCACACGTCACAAAGGCGTTTCTCAGAATGCTTGTGTCTAGCTTTTATGTGAAGATGTTTCCTTTTCCACCAGAGGCCTCAAAGTGCTTCAAATATACACTTGCAGATCTTGCAAAAAGAGTGTTTCAAAACTGCTCAATCAAAAGAAAGGTTGAAGTCTGTGAGATGAATGTACACATCACAAAGAAGTTTCTAAGAATGCTTCTGTCTGGTTTTATGTAAAGATATTTCCTTTTCTACTATAGGCCACAAAGCACTCCAAATATCAACTTGCAGATTCTGCAGAAAGAGTTTTTCAAAGCTGCTCAATCAAAAGAAAAGTTCAACTCTTTGAGATGAATGCACACATCAGGAAGTTCCTCAGAATGCTTCTATTTTTATGTGAAGATATAGCCTTTTCTACCATAGACGACAAAACGCTCCAAATATCCCCTTGCAGTTTCTACTAAAAGAGTGTTTCCAAACTGCTCAATCAAAAGAAGTTTCAACTCTGTGAGATGAATGCACTCATCAATAAGAAGTTTCTCAGTAATTTTCTGTCTAGTTTTTATGTGAAGATATTTCCTTTCCTACTATAGGCCTGAAAGTGCTCCAAATATCCGTTTGCAGATACTGCAAAAAGACTGTTTCCAAACTGCTCAATCAAAGGAAATGTCCAAATGCTGTGAGTTGAATGCACGCATCTCAAAGAGATTACTCATAATGATTCTGTCTAGTTTTGATGTGAAGATATTTGCTTTTCCACCAGTGGCCTCAAACTCTCCAAATATCCACTTGCAGATTCTACAATAAGAGTGTTTCAAAACTGCTCAATCAAAGAAAGGTTCAACACTGTGAGATGAATGCACACGTCACAAAGCACTTTCTTAGAATGCTTCTGTCTAGTTTTTATGTGAAGATATTTCGTTTTTCACCATAGGCCGCAAGGCGTTCCAAATATCCCCTTCAGATTCTACAGAAAGAGTGTTTCAAAACTGTTCAATCAAAAGAAAGGTTCAACCCTGGTGATGAATGCACGCATCACAGAGCAGTTTCTCATAATATTTATCTGTCTAGTTTTTGTGTGTATATATTTCCTTTTCCACCACAGGCCCCAAAGCACTCCAAATATCCATTTGCAGGTACTACAAAAAGACTGTTTCCAAACTGCTCAATCAAAAGAAAAGTTTAAATCTGTGAGTTGAATGAGCACATCACAAATAAGTTTCTCAGAATGCTTCTGTCTAGTTTTTATGTGAATATATTTCCTTTTCCACTATAGGCCGTAATGCGCTCCAAATATCCACCTGCAGATTCTACAAAAAGACTGTTTCCAAACTGCTCAATCAAAAGAAAAGTTCAACTCTGTGAGATGAATGAGCACATCACAAAGAAGTTTCTCAGAATGCTTCTATCTAGTTTTTATGTGAATATATTTCCTTTTCCACCACAGGCCACAAACACTCCAAATATCCACTTGAAGATTCTACAAAAAGAGTGCTTCAAAAATGCTCAATCAAAAGAAAGGTTCAACTGCTTTGAGATGGATGCACACATCACAAAGAAGCTTCTCAGAATGTTTCTGTCTAGTTTTTTTGTGAAGATATTTCCTTTTCCACCGTAGTCCTCAAGTCTCTCCAAATATCTACTTTCAGAATCTCCATAAAGAGTGTTTTAAAACTGCTGTACCAAAGAAAGTTTCATGTCTGAGTTATGACTGCATACAACACAGAGAACTTTCTCAAAGTGCTTCTGTTTATTTTTCTTATGAAGATATTTCCTTTTCCACTATGGGCCACAGAGCGCTCCAAATATCCACTGGCAGATTCTACAAAAAGAGTGTTTCAAAACTGCTCAATCAGTAGAAAGTTTGAAGTGTGTGAGATGAATGTACACATCACAAAGGAGTTTCTAAGAATGCTTCCATCTGAATTTTATGTGAGGATATTTCCTTTTTCACCATAGGCCTCAGTACACTCCAAATATCCATTTACAGATAATACAAATGACTGTATCCAAACTGCTCAATCAAAAGAAAGTTCAACTGTGTATGATGAATGCACACATCACAAGGGTGTTTCTCAGAAAGTTTTTGTCTTGTTTTTAGGTGAAGATATTTCTTATTTCCCCAGAGGCCTCAATGGGATCTCAAATATTCCCTTTCATATTCTACTAAATGACTGTATCGAAGCTGCTCAATCAAAAGACGGGTTTAACAGTGTGAGACGAAAATACACCTTCCTAGGAAGTTTCTCAGAATTCTTCCTTCTAGGTTTTTATGTGAAGATATTTCGTTTTCCACTATAGGCCTCAAAGCGTTCCAAATATCCACTTGCAGATCCTACAAATAGAGCCTTTCAAAACTGCTCAATCAAAAGAAAGGTTCAACTCTGTGAGATGAATGCAGACATCAAAAAGAAGTTTCTCAGAATGCTTCCGCCTTGTTTTTATGTGAAGATATTTCCTTTTTCACCATAGGCCTCAAAGCACTGGTAATATCCATTTGCAGATACTACAAAAAGACTGTCCCCAAACTGCTCAATAAAAAGAAAGTTTCAACTCTAGGAGATAAAAGCAAATATCACAAAGAAGTTTCTCAGAAACTTTCTATCTAGTTTTTATGTGAACATATTTCTTATCACCCCATAGACCTCAATCGGCTCACAAGTATCCTTCTGCAGATTATAAAAAACGACTGTTTCCAAACCGCTCAATCACAGGAAAGGTTTAACTCTGTGAAATGAATGCACCCATCACAGAGAAGTTTCTCAGAATGCTTCTGTCTCGTTTTTATGTGAAGAAGATTCCTTTTCCACCATATTCCTCATGCACTCCAAATAAACACTTGCAGATTCTGCTAAAAGAGTGTTTCAAAACTGCTCAATCAAAAGAAAGGTTCTAGTCGGTGAGACGAATGCACACATCACAAAGAAGTTTCTATGAATGCTTCTGTCTGATTTATATTGAAGATATTTCCTTTTTCACCGTAGGCTTCAGAGTGCTTAAAATATCCATTTGCAGATACTAGAAAAGACACTTTCCAAACTGCTCAATCAAAATAAAGTTCAACTCAGTGAGATGAATGCACACATCACCAAGACGTTTCTGAGAAAGATTCTGTCTCGTTTTTATGTGAAGATATTTCCTATTTCCCCAGAGGCATCAATGGGCTCACAAATATTCCTTTGCATATTCTACAAAATGACTGTTTAGAAGGTGCTCAATCAAAAAAAAAAGTTCAACAATGTGAGATGAATGCGCACATTCAAAGGAAGTTTCTCAGAATTCTTCTATCTAGTTTTTATGTGAAGATATTTCCTTTTTCACTGTAGGCCACAAAGTGCTCCAAATATCCACTTGCAGACTCTACAAAACGAGTGTATCCACACTGCTCAATCAAAAGAAAATTTCAACTGTGTGAGATGAATGCACACATCAAAATAAATTTCTCCAAAACTTCTGCCTACTTTTTATGGGAAGATATTTCGTTTTTCAACGTAGGCCAAAAGCACTCCAAATATCAATTTGCAGATTCTACAAAAAGACTGTTTCCAAACTGCTCAATCAAGAGAAAGTTTCAACCTGGTGAGTAGAAGTCACACATGACAAAATAGTTTCTCAGAAAGTATCTGTCTAGTTTTTATGTGAAGATATTTCTTATCACCCCAGAAGCCTCAATGGGCTCACAAATATTCCTTTGCAGATTCTACAAAACGACAGTTTCAAAACTGCTGAATCAAAAGAAAGGTTCAACTCTGTGAGATGAATGCACAGATCACAAATAAGTTTCTCAGAATGCTGCTGTCTAGTTTTTATGGGAAGAGATTTCCTTTTCCACCATAGGCCTCAAAGCTCTCCAAATAGCCATTTGCAGATACTGTAAAAAGACTGTTTCCAAACTGCTGAATCAAAAGAAAGGTTGAACTCCATGAGTTGAATGCACACGTCACAAAGAAGTTTCTCAGAATTCTTCTGACTAGTTTTTATGTGAAGATATTTTCTTTTCCACCATAGGCCTCAAAGCGCTAAAAATATCCACTTGAAGATTCTACAGAAAGAGAGTTTCAAAACTGCTCAAACAAAAGAAAGATTCAACTCTGTGAGATGAATGCACACATCACAAAGAAGTTTCTCAGAATGCTTCTGTCTAGTTTTATGTGAAGATATTTCCTTTTCTACTATAGGCCGCAAAGTACTCCAAATATCAACTTGCAGATTCTGCAGAAAGAGTTTTTCAAAGCTGCTCAATCAAAAGAAAAGTTCAACTCTTTGAGATGAATGCACACGTCATGAAGAAGTTCCTCAGAATGCTTCTATTTTTATGTGAAGACATATCCTTTTCTACCATAGACCACAAAACGCTCCAAATATCCCCTTGCAGTTTCTACTAAAAGAGTGTTTCCAAACTGCTCAATCAAAAGAAGTTTCAACTCTGTGAGATGAATGCACACATCATTAAGAAGTTTCTCAGTAATTTTCTGTCTAGTTTTTATGTGAAGATATTTCCTTTCCTACTATAGGCCTGAAAGTGCTCCAAATATCCGTTTGCAGATACTGCAAAAAGACTGTTTCCACACTGCTCAATCAAAGGAAATGTCCAACTCTGTGAGTTCAATGCACGCATCTCAAAGAGATTACTTATAATGATTCTGTCTAGTTTTGATGTGAAGATATTTGCTTTTCCACCAGTGACCTCAAACTCTCCAAATATCCACTTGCAGATTCTACAATAAGAGTGTTTCAAAACTGCTCAATCAAAAGAAAGCTTCAACACTGTGAGATGAATGCACACGTCACAAAGCACTTTCTTAGAATGCATCTGTCTAGCTTTTATGTGAAGATATTTCCTTTTTCACCATAGGCTGCAAAGCGCTCCAAATATCCCTTTCAGATTCTACAGAAAGAGAGTTTCAAAACTGTTCAATCAAAAGAGAAACTCAACTCTGGTGATGAATGCACGCATCACAAAGCAGTTTCTCATAATATTTCTGTCTAGTTTTTATGTGAAGATATTTCATTTTCCACTATAGGCCGTAATGCACTCCTAATATCCACTTGCAGATTCTACAGAAAGACTGTTTGCAAACTGCTCAAACAAAAGAAAAGTTCAACTCTGTGAGTTGAATGAGCACATCACAAAGAAGTTTCTCAGCATGCTTCTGTCTAGTTTTTATGTGAATATATTTCCTTTTCCACTATAGGCCGTAATGCACTCCTAATATCCACTTGCAGATTCTACAAAAAGACTGTTTCCAAACTGCTCAATCAAAAGAAAAGCTCAACTCTGTGAGTTGTATGAGCACATCACAAAGAAGTTTCTCAGAATGCTTCTATCTAGTTTTTATGTGAATATATTTCCTTTTCCACCACAGGCCACAAACCCTCCAAATATCCACTTGAAGATTCTACAAAAAGAGTGCTTCAAAAATGCTCAATCAAAAGAAAGGTTCAACTCTTCGAAATGGACGCACACATCACAAAGAAGCTTCTCAGAATGTTTCTGTCTAGTTTTTTTGTGAAGATATTTCCTTTTCCACCGTAGTCCTCAAGTCTCTCCAAATATCTACTTTCAGAATCTCCAAAAAGAGTGTTTTAAAACTGCTGTACCAAAGAAAGTTTCATGTCTGAGTTATGACTGCATACAACACAGAAAACTTTCTCAAAGTGCTTCTGTTTATTTTTTTTATGAAGATATTTCCTTTTCCACTATGGGCAACAGAACGCTCCAAATATCCACTGGCAGATTCTACAAAAAGAGTGTTTCAAAACTGCTCAATCAATAGAAAGTTTGAAGTCTGTGAGATGAATGCACACATCACATAGGAGTTTCTAAGAATGCTTCCATCTGAATTTTATGTGAGGATATTTCCTTTTTCACCATAGGCCTCAATACACTCCAAATATCCATTTACAGAAAATACAAATGACTGTATCCAAACTGCTCAATCAAAAGAAATTTCAACTGTGCATGATGAATGCACACATCACAAGGGGGTTTCTCAGAAAGATTTTGTCTAGTTTTTAGGTGAAGATATTTCTTATTTCCCCAGAGGCCTCAATGGGCTCTCAAATATTCCCTTTCATATTCTACTAAATGACTGTATCGAAGCTGCTCAATCAAAAGACGGGTTTAACAGTGTGAGACGAAAATACAGCTTCCTAGGAAGTTTCTCAGAATTCTTCTTTCTAGTTTTTTATGTGAAGATATTTCCTTTTCCACTATAGGCCTCAAAGCGTTCCAAATATCCACTTGCAGATACTACAAATAGAGCGTTTCAAAACTGCTCAATCAAAAGAAATGTTCAACTCTGTGAGATGAATGCAGACATCAAAAAGAAGTTTCTCAGAATGCTTCTGCCTTGTTTTTATGTGAAGATATTTCCTTTTTCAAAATAGGCCTCAAAGCACTGGTAATATCCATTTGCAGATACTACAAAAAGACTGTTCCCAAACTGCTCAATAAAAATAAAGTTTCAACTCTATGAGATAAAAGCAAATATCACAAAGAAGTTTCTCAGAAACTTTCTGTCTAGTTTTTATGTGAACATATTTCCTATCGCCCCATAGGCCTCAATCAGCTCAAAAATATCCTTCTGCAGATTATACAAAACAAATGTTTCCAAACCATTCAATCACAGGAAGGGTTTAACTTTGTGAAATGAATGCGCCCATCACAGAAAAGTTTCTCAGAATGTTTCCGTCTCGTTTTCATGTGAAGAAGATTCCTTTTCCACCATATTCCTCATGCGTTCCAAATAAACACTTGCAGATTCCGCTAAAAGAGTGTTTCAAAACTGCTCAATCAAAAGAAAGGTTCTAGTCGGTGAGATGAATGCACACATCCCAAAGAAGTTTCTATGAATGCTTCTGTCTGATTTATATTGAAGATATTTCCTTTTTCACTGTAGGCCTCAGAGTGCTTAAAATATCCATTTGCAGATACTAGAAAAGACTGTTTCCAAACTGCTCAATCAAAATAAAGTTCAACTCAGTGAGATGAATGCACACATCACCAAGACGTTTCTGAGAAAGATTTCTGTCTCGTTTTTATGTGAAGATATTTCCTGTTTCCCCAGAGGCATCAATGGGCTCACAAATATTCCTTTGCATATTCTACAAAATGACTGTTTAGAAGGTGCTCAATCAAAAAAAAAAGTTCAACAGTGTGAGATGAATGCGCCCATTCAAAGGAAGTTTCTCAGAATTCTTCTATCTAGTTTTTATGTGAAGATATTTCCTTTTTCACTGTAGGCCACAAAGTGCTCCAAATATCCACTTGCAGACGCTACAAAACGAGTGTATCCACACTGCTCAATCAAAAGAAAATTTCAACTGTGTGAGATGAATGCACACATCAAAATAAATTTCTCCAAAACTTCTGCCTACTTTTTATGGGAAGATATTTCGTTTTTCAACGTAGGCCAGAAGCACTCCAAATATCAATTTGCAGATTCTACAAAAAGACTGTTTCCAAACTGCTCAATCAAGAGAAAGTTTCAACCTGGTGAGTAGAAGTCACACATGACAAAATAGTTTCTCAGAAAGTATCTGTCTAGTTTTTATGTGAAGATATTTCCTATCACCCCAGAAGCCTCCATGGGCTCACAAATATTCCTTTGCAGATTCTACAAAACGACAGTTTCAAAACTGCTGAATCAAAAGAAAGGTTCAACTCCGTGAGATGAATGCACAGATCACAAATAAGTTTCTCAGAATGCTGCTGTCTAGTTTTTATGGGAAGAGATTTCCTTTTCCACCATAGGCCTCAAAGCTCTCCAAATATCCATCTGCAGATACTGTAAAAAGACTGTTTCCAAACTGCTGAATCAAAAGAAAGGTTGAACTCCATGAGTTGAATGCACACGTCACAAAGAAGTTTCTCAGAATGCTTGTGTCTAGTTTTTATGTGAAGATGCTTCCTTTTCCACCAGAAGCCTCAAAGCACTTCAAATATACACTTGCAGATACTGCAAAAAGAGTGTTTCAAAACTGCTCAATCAATAGAAAGTTTGAAGTCTGTGAGATGAATGCACACATCACAAAGAAGTTTCTGAGAATGCTTCTGTCTAGTTTTATGTAAAGATATTTCCTTTTCTACTATAGGCCACAAAGCACTCCAAATATCAACTTGCAGATTCTGCAGAAAGAGATTTTCAAAGCTGCTCAATCAAAAGAAAAGTTCAACTCTTTGAGATTAATGCACACATCATGAAGTTCCTCAGAATGCTTCTATTTTTATGTGAAGATATAGCCTTTTCTGCCATAGACCACAAAACGCTCCAAATATCCCCTTGCAGTTTCTACTAAAAGAGTGTTTCCAAACTGCTCAATCAAAAGAAAGTTTCAACTCTGTGAGATGAATGCACACATCATAAAGAAGTTTCTCAGTAATTTTCTGTCTAGTTTTTATGTGAAGATATTTCCTTTCCTACTATAGGCCTGAAAGTGCTCCAAATATCCGCTTGCAGATACTGCAAAAAGACTGTTTCCAAACTGCTCAATCAAAGGAAACGGTCCAACTCTGTGAGTTGAATGCACTGCATCTCAAAGAGATTACTTATAATGATTCTGTCTAGTTTTGATGTGAAGATATTTGCTTTTCCACCAGTGACCTCAAACTCTCCAAATATCCACTTGCAGATTCTACAATAAGAGTGTTTCAAAACTGCTCAATCAAAAGAAAGGTTCAACACTGTGAGATGAATGCACACGTCACAAAGCACTTTCTTAGAATGCTTCTGTCTAGCTTTTATGTGAAGATATTTCCTTTTTCACCATAGGCTGCAAAGCGCTCCAAATATCCCTTTCAGATTCTACAGAAAGAGTGTTTCAAAACTGATCAATCAAAAGAGAAATTCAACTCTGGTGATGAATGCACGCATCACAAAGCAGTTTCTCATAATGTTTCTGTCTAGTTTTTATGTGAAGGTATTTCGTTTTCCACTATAGGCCGTAAAGCACTCCAAATATCCACTTGCAGATTCTACAAAAAGACTGTTTCCAAACTACTCAATCAAAAGAAATGTTCAACTTTTTTAGTTGAATGCACGCATCACAAAGAAGTTTCTCAGCATGCTTCTGTCTAGTTTTTATGTGAATATATTTCCTTTTCCACTATAGGCCATCATGCGCTCCAAATATCCACTTGCAGATTCTACAAAAAGACTGTTTCCAAACTGCTCAATCAAAAGAAAAGCTCAACTCTGTGAGTTGAATGAGCACATCACAAAGAAGTTTCTCAGAATGCTTCTATCTAGTTTTTATGTGAATATATTTCCTTTTCCACCACAGGCCACAAACACTCCAAATATCCACTTGAAGATTCTACAAAAAGAGTGCTTCAAAAATGCTCAATCAAAAGAAAGGTTCAACTCTTCGAGATGGATGCACACATCACAAAGAAGCTTCTCAGAATGTTTCTGTCTAGTTTTTTGGTGAAGATATTTCCTTTTCCACCGTAGTCCTCAAGTCTCTCCAAATATCTACTTTCAGAATCTCCAAAAAGAGTGTTTTAAAACTGCTGTACCAAAGAAAGTTTCATGTCTGAGATATGACTGCATACAACACAGAGAAGTTTCTCAAAGTGCTTCTGTTTATTTTTTTGATGAAGATATTTCCTTTTCCACTATTGGCCACAGAGCGCTCCAAATATCCACTGGCAGATTCTACAAAAAGAGTGTTTCAACACTGCTCAATCAATAGAAAGTTTGAAGTCTGTGAGATGAATGTACACATCACAAAGGAGTTTCTAAGAATGCTTCCATCTGAATTTTATGTGAGGATATTTCCTTTTTCACCATAGGCGTCAGTACATTCCAAATATCCATTTACAGATAATACAAATGACTGTATCCAAACTGCTCAATCAAAAGAAAGTTCAACTGTGTATGATGAATGCACACATCACAAGGGTGTTTCTCAGAAAGTTTTTGTCTAGTTTTTAGATGAAGATATTTCTTATTTCCCAAGAGGCCTCAATGGGCTCTCAAATATTCTCTTTCAGATTCTACTAAATGACTGTATCGAAGCTGCTCAATCAAAAGAAAGGTTCAACAGTGTGAGAAGAAAGCACACATTCCTAGGAAGTTTCTCAGAATTCTTCTTTCTAGTTTTTTATGTGAAGATATTTCCTTTTCCACTATAGGCCTCAAAGCGTTCCAAATATCCACTTGCAGATACTACAAATAGAGCGTTTCAAAACTGCTCAATCAAAAGAAAGGTTCAACTCTGTGAGATGAATGCAGACATCAAAAAGAAGTTTCTCAGAATTCTTCTGCCTTGTATTTATGGGAAGATATTTCCTTTTTCACCATAGGTCTCAAAGCACTGGTAATATCCATTTGCAGATACTACAAAAAGACTGTTCCCAAACTGCTCAATCAAAAGAAAGTTTCAACTCTGTGAGATGAAAGCAAATATCACAAAGAAGTTTCTCATAAATTTTCTATCTAGTTTTTATGTGAACATATTTCTTATCACCCCATAGACCTCAATCGGCTCACAAGTATCCTTCTGCAGATTGTAAAAAACTACTGTTTCCAAACCGCTCAGTCACAGGAAAGGTTTAACTCTGTGAAATGAATGCATCCATCACAGAGAAGTTTCTCAGAATGCTTCCGTCCGTTTTCATGTGAAGAAGATTCCTTTTCCACCATATTCCTCATGCGCTCCAAATAAACACTTGCAGATTCCGCTAAAAGAGTGTTTCAAAACTGCTCAATCAAAAGAAAGGTTCTAGTCGGTGAGATGAATGCACACATCACAAAGAAGTTTCTATGAATGCTTCTGTCTGATTTATATTGAAGATATTTCCTTTTTCACCGTAGGCCTCAGAGTGTTTAAAATATCCATTTGCAGATACTAGAAAAGACTGTTTCCAAACTGCTCAATCAAAATAAAGTTCAACTCAGTGAGATGAATGCACACATCACCAAGACGTTTCTGAGAAAGATTCTGTCTCGTTTTTATGTGAAGATATTTCCTGTTTCCCCAGAGGCATCAATGGGCTCACAAATATTCCTTTGCATATTCTACAAAATGACTGTTTAGAAGGTGCTCAATCAAAAAAGAAGTTCAACAGTGTGAGATGAATGCGCCCATTCAAAGGAAGTTTCTCAGAATTCTTCTATCTAGTTTTTATGTGAAGATATTTCCTTTTTCACTATAGGCCACAAAGTGCTCCAAATATCCACTTGCAGACTCTACAAAACGAGTGTATCCACACTGCTCAATCAAAAGAAAATTTCAACTGTGTGAGATGAATGCACACATCAAAATAAATTTCTCCAAAATTTCTGCCTACTTTTTATGGGAAGATATTTCGTTTTTCAACGTAGGCCAAAAGCACTCCAAATATCAATTTGCAGATTCTACAAAAAGACTGTTTCCAAACTGCTCAATCAACAGAATGTTTCAACCCGGTGAGTAGAAGTCACACATGACAAAATAGTTTCTCAGAAAGTATCTGTCTAGTTTTTATGTGAAGATATTTCCTATTACCCCAGAAGCCTCAATGGGCTCACAAATATTCCTTTGCAGATTCTACAAAACGACAGTTTCAAAACTGCTGAATCAAAAGAAAGGTTCAACTCTGTGAGATGAATGCACAGATCACAAATAAGTTTCTCAGAATGCTTCTGTCTAGTTTTTATGTGAAGATATTTCCTTTTCCACCATAGGCCTCAAAGCTCTCCAAATATCCATTTGCAGATACTACAAAAAGACTGTTTCCAAACTGCTGAATCAAAAGAAAGGTTCAACTACATGAGTTGAATGCACACATCACAAAGAAGTTTCTCAGAAAGCTTGTGTCTAGTTTTTATGTGAAGATGTTTCCTTTTCCACCACAGGCCTCAAAGCGCTTCAAATATACACTTGCAGATCCTGCAAAAAGAGTGTTTCAAAACTGCTCAATCAAAAGAAAGGTTGAAGTCTGTGAGATGAATGCACTCCTCACAAAGTAGTTTCTAAGAATGCTTCTGTCTAGTTTTATGTAAAGATATTTCCTTTTCTACTATAGGCCACAAAGCACTCCAAATATCAACTTGCAGATTCTGCAGAAAGAGTTTTTCAAAGCTGCTCAGTCAAAAGACAAGTTCAACTCTTTGAGATGAATGCACACATCATGAAGTTCCTCAGAATGCTTCTATTTTTATGTGAAGATATATCCTTTTCTACCATAGACCACAAAACGCTCCAAATATCCCCTTGCAGTTTCTACTAAAAGAGTGTTTCCAAACGGCTCAATCAAAAGAAAGTTTCAACTCTGTGAGATGAATGCACACATCATTAAGAAGTGTCTCAGTAATTTTCTGTCTAGTTTTTATGTGAAGATATTTCCTTTCCTACTATAGGCCTGAAAGTGCTGCAAATATCCGTTTGCAGATACTGCAAAAAGACTGTTTCCACACTGCTCAATCAAAGGAAATGTCCAACTCTGTGAGTTGAATGCATGCATCTCAAAGAGATTACTTATAATGATTCTGTCTAGTTTTTAGGTGAAGATATTCCCTTTTAAACTGTAGTCTGCAAAGCACTCCAAATATACACTTGCAGATTCTACAAAAAGAGTGTTTCAAAATTGCTCAATCAAAAGAAGGGTTCAACAGTGTTAGTTGAATGCACACATCACAAAGAATTTTCCCAGAATGCTTCTGTCTAGCTTTTATGTGAAGATATTTCCTTTTTCACCATAGGCTGCAAAGCGCTGCAAATATCCCTTTCAGATTCTACAGAAAGAATGTTTCAAAACTGTTCAATCAAAAGAGAAACTCAACTCTGGTGATGAATGCACGCATCACAAAGCAGTTTCTCATAATGTTTCTGTCTAGTTTTTATGTGAAGATATTTCATTCTCCATTATAGGCCGTAATACACTCCTAATATCCACTTGCAGATTCTACAAAAAGACTGTTTGCAAACTGCTCAAACAAAAGAAAAGTTCAACTCTGTGAGTTGAATGAGCACATCACAAAGAAGTTTCTCAGAATGCTTCTGTCTAGTTTTTATGTGAATATATTTCCTTTTCCACTATAGGTCGTCATGCGCTCCAAATATCCACTTGCAGATTCTACAAAAAGACTGTTTCCAAACTGCTCAATCAAAAGAAAAGCTCAACTCTGTGAGTTGAATGAGCACATCACAAAGAAGTTTCTCAGAATGCTTCTGTCTAGTTTTTATGTGAAGATATTTCCTTTTCCACCACAGGCCACAAAGCATTCCAAATATCCACTTGAAGATTCTACAAAAAGAGTGCTTCAAAAATGCTCAATCAAAAGAAAGGTTCAACTCTTTGAGATGGATGCACATATCACAAAGAAGCTTCTCAGAATGCTTCTGTCTACTTTTTTTGTGAAGATATTTCCTTTTCCACCGTAGTCCTCAAGTCTCTCCAAATACCTACTTTCAGAATCTCCAAAAAGAGTGTTTTAAAACTGCTGTACCAAAGAAAGTTTCATGTCTGAGATATGACTGCATACAACACAGAGAACTTTCTCAAGGTGCTTCTGTTTATTTTTTTTATGAAGATATTTCCTTTTCCACTATGGGCCACAGTAGCGCTCCAAATATCCACTGGCAGATTCTACAAAAAGAGTGTTTCAAAACTGCTCAATCAATAGAAAGTTTGAAGTCTGTGAGATGAGTGCACACATCACAAAGGAGTTTCTAAGAATGCTTCCATCTGAATTTTATGTGAGGATATTTCCTTTTTCACCATAGGCCTCAGTACACTCCAAATATCCATTTACAGATAGTACAAATGACTGTATCCAAACTGCTCAATCAAAAGAAAGTTCAACTGTGTATGATGAATGCACACATCACAAGGGTGTTTCTCAGAAAATTTTTGTCTAGTTTTTAGGTGAAGATATTTCTTATTTCCCAAGAGGCCTCAATGGGCTCTCAAATATTCTCTTTCAGATTCTACTAAATGACTGTATCGAAGCTGCTCAATCAAAAGAAAGGTTCAACAGTGTGAGAAGAAAGTACACATTCCTAGGAAGTTTCTCAGAATTCTTCTTTCTAGGTTTTTATGTGAAGATATTTCCTTTTCCACTATAGGCCTCAAAGCGTTCCAAATATCCACTTGCAGATACTACAAATAGAGCGTTTCTAAACTGCTCAATCAAAAGAAAGGTTCAACTCTGTGAGATGAATGCAGACATCAAAAAGAAGTTTCTCAGAATGCTTCTGCCTTGTTTTTATGTGAAGATATTTCCTTTTTCACCATAGGCCTCAAAGCACTGGTAATATCCATTTGCAGATACTACAAAAAGACTGTTCCCAAACTGCTCAATAAAAAGAAAGTTTCAACTCTATGAGATAAAAGCAAATATCACAAAGAAGTTTCTCAGAATCTTTCTATCTAGTTTTTATGTGAACATATTTCTTATCTCCCCATAGACCTCAATCAGCTCACAAGTATCCTTCTGCAGAGTGTAAAAAACTACTGTTTCCAAACCGTTCAATCACAGGAAAGGTTTAACTCTGTGAAATGAATGCATCCATCACAGAGAAGTTTCTCAGAATGCTTCCGTCTCGTTTCCATGTGAAGAATATTCCTTTTCCACCATATTCCTCATGCGCTCCAAATAAACACTTGCAGATTCCGCTAAAAGAGTGTTTCAAAACTGCTCAATCAAAAGAAAGGTTCTAGTCGGTGAGATGAATGCACACATCACAAAGAAGTTTCTATGAATGCTTCTGTCTGATTTATATTGAAGATATTTCCTTTTTCACCGTAGGCCTCAGAGTGCTTCAAATATCCATTTGCAGATAGTAGAAAAGACTGTTTCCAAACTGCTCAATCAAAATAAAGTTCAACTCAGTGAGATGAATGCACACATCACCAAGACGTTTCTGAGAAAGATTCTGTCTCGTTTTTATGTGAAGATATTTCCTGTTTCCCCAGAGGCATCAATGGGCTCACAAATATTCCTTTGCATATTCTACAAAATGACTGTTTAGAAGGTGCTCAATCAAAAAAAGAGTTCAACAGTGTGAGATGAATGCGCCCATTCAAAGGAAGTTTCTCAGAATTCTTTTATCTAGTTTTTATGTGAAGATATTTCCTTTTTCACTATAGGCCGCAAAGTGCTCCAAATATCCACTTGCAGACTCTACAAAACGAGTGTATCCACACTGCTCAATCAAAAGAAAATTTCAACTGTGTGAGATGAATGCACACATCAAAATAAATTTCTCCAAAACTTCTGCCTACTTTATATGGGAAGATATTTCGTTTTACAACGTAGGCCAAAAGCACTCCAAATATCAATTTGCAGATTCTACAAAAAGACTGTTTCCAAACTGCTCAATCAAGAGAAAGTTTCAACCCAGTGAGTAGAAGTCACACATGACAAAATAGTTTCTCAGAAAGTATCTGTCTAGTTTTTATGTGAAGATATTTCCTATCACCCCATACGTCTCAATGGGCTCAAAAATATCCCTCTGCAGATTCTACGAAACGATTGTTTCCAAACTGTTCAATACAAGGAAAGGTTCAACTCCGTGAAGTGAATACACCCATCAGGCAGAAGTTTCTCAGAATGCTTGCTGTCTAGTTTTTATGGGAAGAGATTTCCTTTTCCACCATAGGCCTCAAAGCTCTCCAAATATCCATTTGCAGATACTGTAAAAAGACTGTTTCCAAACTGCTGAATCAAAAGAAAGGTTGAACTCCATGAGTTGAATGCACACGTCACAAAGAAGTTTCTCAGAATGCTTCTGACTAGTTTTTATGTGAAGATATTTTCTTTTCCAACATAGGCCTCAAAGCGCTGAAAATATCCACTTGAAGATTCTACAAAAAGAGAGTTTCAAAACTGCTCAAACAAAAGAAAGATTCAACTCTGTGAGATGAATGCACACATCACAAAGAAGTTTCTCAGAATGCTTCTGTCTAGTTTTATGTAAAGATATTTCCTTTTCTACTATAGGCCACAAAGCACTCCAAATATCAACTTGCAGATTCTGCAGAAAGAGTTTTTCAAAGCTGCTCAATCAAAAGAAAAGTTCAACTCTTTGTGATGAATGCACACATCATGAAGTTCCTCAGAATGCTTCTATTTTTATGTGAAGATATAGCCTTTTCTACCATAGACCACAAAACGCTCCAAATATCCCCTTGCAGTTTCTACTAAAAGAGAGTTTCCAAACGGCTCAATCAAAAGAAGTTTCAACTCTGTGAGATGAATGCACACATCATTAAGAAGTTTCTCAGTAATTTTCTGTCTAGTTTTTAGGTGAAGATATTTCCTTTCCTACTATAGGCCTGAAAGTGCTCCAAATATCCGCTTGCAGATACTGCAAAAAGACTGTTTCCAAACTGCTCAATCAAAGGAAACGTCCAACTCTGTGAGTTGAATGCACGCATCTCAAAGAGATTACTTATAATGATCCTGTCTAGTTTTGATGTGAAGATATTTGCTTTTCCACCAGTGGCCTCAAACTCTCGAAATATCCACTTGCAGATTCTACAATAAGAGTGTTTCAAAAGTGCTCAATCAAAAGAAAGGTTCAACACTGTGAGATGAATGCACACGTCACAAAGCACTTTCTTAGAATGCTTCTGTCTAGCTTTTATGTGAAGATATTTGCTTTTTCACCATAGGCTGCAAAGCGCTCCAAATATCCCTTTCAGATTCTACAGAAAGAGTGTTTCAAAACTGTTCAATCAAAAGAGAAACTCAACTCTGGTGATGAATGCAAGCATCACAAAGCAGTTTCTCATAACGTTTCTGTCTATTTTTTATGTGAAGTTATTTCATTTTCCACTATAGGCCGTAATGCACTCCTAATATCCACTTGCAGATTCTACAAAAAGACTGATTGCAAACTGCTCAAACAAAAGAAAAGTTCAACTCTGTGAGTTGAATGAGCACATCACAAAGAAGTTTCTCAGAATGCTTCTGTCTAGTTTTTATGTGAATATATTTCCTTTTCCACTATAGGCCGTAATGCGCTCCAAATATCCACCTGCAGATTCTACAAAAAGACTGTTTCCAAACTGCTCAATCAAAAGAAAAGCTCAACTCTGTGAGTTGAATGAGCACATCACAAAGAAGCTCTCAGAATGCTTCTATCTAGTTTTTATGTGAATATATTTGCTTTTCCACCACAGGCCACAAACCCTCCAAATATCCACTTGAAGATTCTACAAAAAGAGTGCCTCAAAAATGCGCAATCAAAAGAAAGGTTCAACTCTTCGAGATGGACGCACACATCACAAAGAAGCTTCTCAGAATGTTTCTTTTTTGTCTGTCTAGTTTTTTTGTGAAGATATTTCCTTTTCCACCGTAGTCCTCAAGTCTCTCCAAATATCTACTTTCAGAATCTCCAAAAAGAGTGTTTTAAAACTGCTGTACCAAAGAAAGTTTCATGTCTGAGATATGACTGCATACAACACAGAGAACTTTCTTAAAGTGCTTCTGTTTATTTTTTTTATGAAGATATTTCCTTATCCACTATTGGCCACAGAGCGCTCCAAATATCCACTGGCAGATTCTACAAAAAGAGAGTTTCAAAACTGCTCAATCATTAGAAAGTTTGAAGTCTGTGAGATGAATGAACACAACACAAAGGAGTTTCTAAGAATGCTTCCATCTGATTTTTATGTGAAGATATTTCCTTTTTCACCATAGGCCTCATTACACTCCAAATATCCATTTATAGATAATACAAATGACTGTTTCCAAACTGCTCAATCAAAAGAAAGTTCAACTGCGTGTGATAAATGCACACATCACAAGGAAGTTGCTCAGAAAGTTTTGTCTTGTTTTTAGGTGAAGATATTTCTTATTTCCCCAGAGGCCTCAATGGGCTCTCAAATATTCCCTTTCATATTCTACTAAAAGACTGTATCGAAGCTGCTCAATCAAAAGACGGGTTTAACAGTGTGAGACGAAAATAAACCTTCCTAGGAAGTTTCTCAGAATTCTTTCTTTCTGGTTTTTTATGTGAAGATATTTCCTTTTCCACTATAGGCCTCAAAGCGTTCCAAATATCCACTTGCAGACACTACAAATAGAGCGTTTCAAAACTGCTCAATCAAAAGAAAGGTTCAACTCTGTGAGATGAATGCAGACATCAAAAAGAAGTTTCTCAGAATGCTTCTGCCTTGTTTTTATGTGAAGATATTTCCTTTTTCACCATAGGCCTCAAAGCCCTGGTAATATCCATTTGCAGATACTACAAAAAGACTGTTCCCAAACTGCTCAATAAAAAGAAAGTTTCAACTCTATGAGATAAAAGCAAATATCACAAAGAAGTTTCTCAGAAACTTTCTATCTAGTTTTTATGTGAACATATTTCTTATCACCCCATAGACCTCAATCGGCTCACAAGTATCCTTCTGCAGATTGTAAAAAACTACTGTTTCCAAACCGCTCAATCACAGGAAAGGTTTAACTCTGGGAAATGAATGCATCCATCACAGAGAAGTTTCTCAGAATGCTTCTGTCTCGTTTTTATGTGAAGAAGATTCCTTTTCCACCATATTCCTCATGCGCTTCAAACATACATTGCAGATTCTACAAAAAGAGTGTTTCAAAACTGCTAAATCAAAAGAAAAGTTCTAATCTGTGAGATGAATGCACACCTCACAAAGAAGTTTCTATGAATGCTTCTGTCTGATTTATATTGAAGATATTTCCTTTTTCACCGTAGGCCTCAGAGCGCTTAAAATATCCATTTGCAGATACTAGAAAAAGACTGTTTCCAAACTGCTCAATAAAAATAAAGTTCAACTCAGTGAGATGAATGCACACATCACAAAGAAGTTTCTGAGAAAGATTCTGTCTCGTTTTTATGTGAAGATATTTCCTGTTTCCCCAGAGGCATCAATGGGCTCACAAATATTCCTTTGCATATTCTACAAAATGACTGTTTAGACGGTGATCAATCAAAAAAAAAAGTTCAACAGTGTGAGATGAATGCGCCCATTCAAAGGAAGTTTCTCAGAATTCTTCTATCTAGTTTTTATGTGAAGATATTTCCTTTTTCACTATAGGCCACAAAGTGCTCCAAATATCCACTTGCAGACTCTACAAAACGAGTGTATCCACACTGCTCAATCAAAAGAAAATTTCAACTGTGTGAGATGAATGCACACATCAAAATAAGTTTCTCCAAAACTTCTGCCTACTTTTTATGGGAAGATATTTCGTTTTTCAACGTAGGCCAAAAGCACTCCAAATATCAATTTGCAGATTCTACAAAAAGACTGTTTCCAAACTGCTCAATCAAGAGAAAGTTTCAACCCTGTGAGTAGAAGTCACACATGACAAAATAGTTTCTCCGAAAGTATCTGTCTAGTTTTAATGTGAAGATATTTCCTATCACCCCAGAAGCCTCAATGGGCTCACAAATATTCCTTTGCAGATTCTACAAAACGACAGTTTCAAAACTGCTGAATCAAAAGAAAGGTTCAACTCTGTGAGATGAATGCACAGATCACAAATAAGTTTCTCAGAATGCTGCTGTCTAGTTTTTATGAGAAGAGATTTCCTTTTCCACCATAGGCGTCAATGCTCTCCAAATAGCCATTTGCAGATACTGTAAAAAGACTGTTTCCAAACTGCTGAATCAAAAGAAAGGTTGAACTCCATGAGTTGAATGCACACGTCACAAAGAAGTTTCTCAGAATGCTTTTGTCTAGTTTTTATGTTAAGATGTTTCCTTTTCCATTCCATGAAGTAAAGTGATGCAAATATCCATTTGTAGATATTACAAAAAGACTGCTTCCAAACTCCTCGATCAAAAGAAAGGTTCAACTCTGTGAGTTGAATGCACACATCACAAAAAATTTTCTCAGAATGCTTCTGTCTAGTTTTATGTAAAGATATTTCCTTTTCTACTATAGGCCACAAAGCACTCCAAATATCAACTTGCAGATTCTGCAGAAAGAGTTATTCAAAGCTGCTCAATCAAAAGAAAAGTTCAACTCCTTGAGACGAATGCACACATCATGAAGTTCCTCAGAATGCTTCTATTTTTATGTGAAGATATATCCTTTTCTACCATAGACCACAAAACTCTCCAAATATCCCCTTGCAGTTTCTACTAAAAGAGTGTTTCCAAACTGCTCAATCAAAAGAAAGTTTCAACTCTGTGAGATGAATGCACACATCATTAAGAAGTTTCTCAGTAATTTTCTGTGTAGTTTTTATGTGAAGATATTTCCTTTCCTACTATAGGCCTGAAAGTGCTCCAAATATCCGTTTGCAGATACTGCAAAAAGACTGTTTCCACACTGCTCAATCAAAGGAAATGTCCAACTCTGTGAGTTGAATGCACGCATCTCAAAGAGATTACTTATAATGATTCTGTCTAGTTTTGATGTGAAGATATTTGCTTTTCCACCAGTGGCCTCATACTCTCCAAATATCCACTTGCAGATTCTACAATAAGAGTGTTTCAAAACTGCTCAATCAAAAGAAAGCTTCAACACTGTGAGATGAATGCACACGTCACAAAGCACTTTCTTAGAATGCTTCTGTCTAGCTTTTATGTGAAGATATTTCCTTTTTCACCATAGGCTGCAAAGCGCTCCAAATATCCCTTTCAGATTCTTCAGAAAGAGTGTTTCAAAACTGTTCAATCAAAAGAGAAACTCAACTACTGGTGATGAATGCACGCATCACAAAGCAGTTTCTCATCATGTT
>NC_000021.9:10864560-10887097 GCF_000001405.40 Homo sapiens | reverse complement strand
TCTGTCTAGTTTTTATGTGAAGATATTTCTTTTTCCCCTGTAGGTCACAAAGGCCTCCAAATATCCACTTGCAGATTCTACAAAAAGAGTATTTGAAAACTTCACAATCAAAAGAAAGTTTCAACTCTGTGAGATGAATGCACACATCACAAAGAAGTTTCTCAGATTGCTTCTGTCTAGTTTATGTGAAGATATTTCCTTTTCCAACAGAGGCTGCAAAACACTCGAAATATCCACTTGCAGATTCTAAAAAAAGAGTGTTTCAAAACTGCTCAATCAAAAGAAAGACTCAAATCTGTGAGTTGAACACACACAACACAAAGAACTTTGTCAGAATGCTTCTCTCTAGTTTTTATGTGAAGATATTTGCTTTTCCACCATAGGCCGCAAAGCGCGCCAAGTATCCACTTGCAGATTTTACAAAAATAGTGTTTCAAAACTGCTCAAACAAAAGAAAGGTTCAACTCTGTGAGTTGAATGCACACATCACAAAGAAGTTTCTCAGAATGCTTCTCCGTAGTTTTTATGTGAAAATATATCCTTTTCCGCATTAGGCCACAAAGCATTGCAAATATCCACTTGCAGATCCTAAAAAAAGTGTGTTTCAAAACTACTCAATCAAAAGAAAGGTTCAACTCTGTGTGTTGAATGCACACATCACAAACCAATTTCTCAGAATGCTTCTGTGTAGTTTTCACGTGAAAATATTTACTTTTCTACCATAGGCCTCAAAACACTCCAAGTATCCAATTGGAGATTCTACAAAAAGAGTGTTTCAAAACTGCTCAATCAAAAGAAAGCTTCAACTCTGTGAGATGAATGCACACATGACAAAGAAGTTTCTCAGAATGCTGTTGTCTAGTTTTTATGTGAAGATATTGCCTTTTCCACTTAAGGCCACATAGCGCTCCAAACATCCACTTGCAGATTCTGCAAAAGGAGTCTTTCAAAACTGCTCAATCTAAAGAAGGACTGCACTCTTTGAGTTAAATGCACACATCACAAAGAAGTTTCTCAGAATGCTTCTGTGTACTATTTATGTGAAGATATTTCCTTTTCCACCGTAGGCCTCAAAGCACTCCAAAAATCCACTGTCAGATTTTACAAAAAGAGTGTTTCAAAACTGCTGAATCAAAAGAAAGGTTGAACTCTGTGGGTTGAATGCACACATCACAAAGTAGTTTCTCAGAATGCTTCTGTCTAATTTTTATGTGAAAATATTCCGTTTTCCACCATAGGCCTCAATGTGCTCCAAATATCCACTTGCAGATTCTACAAAAAATGTGTTTCCAAACTGCTCAACCAAAAGAATGGTTCAACTCTGTGAGATGAAACCACATATCATAAGGAAGTTTCTCAGAAATTTTCTGTCTAGTTTTTATGTGAGAATGTTTCCTATTTCATCCATAGGCGTCAATGGGCTGAGAAATATCCCTTCACAGATTCTACGAAAGGACTGTTTCCAAACTGCTGAATCGAAAGAAATGTTCAACTCTTTGTGATGAATGTGCACATCACAAAGAAGTTTCTCAGAATGATTCTGTCTAGTTTTTATGTGAAGATATTTCGTTTTCCACTATAGGCCACAAAGGACTCCAAATATCCACTTGCAGATTCCCCATAAAGAGTGTTTCCAAACTGCTCAATCAAAGGAAAGTTACAACTCTGTGAGATGAAAGAACACATCATAAAGAAGTTTCTTACAGAAAGCTCCTGTCTAGTTTTTATGTGAAGATATTTTATGTTTCACCATAGTCCAGAAGGTGCTCAAAAATAGCCCTTTGCAGATTCTACACAAAGACTGTTTCCAAACTTCTGAACCAAAATAAAGGTTCAACTCTGTGAGATGAAAGCACATATCTCAAAGAAGTTTCTCAGAAACGTTCTGTCTGGTTTTTATGAGAAGTTATTTCCTATTTCACCATAGGCCTCAATGGACTGAGAAATATCCCTTTGCAGATTCTGCAAAAGGACTATTTCCAAACTGCTCAATCCAAAGAAAGTTTCACCTCTTTGAGTTGAATGCACGCATCACAAACAAGTTTCTCAGAATGCTTCTGTCTAGTTTTTATGTGAAGATATTTCCTTTTTCACCATAGCCCTTAAACTGCTCTCACATATCCCTCTGCAGATACTGCAAAAAGACTGTTTCCAAACTGCTCCATCAAAGGAAAGGTTCAACTCTGTGAGATGAATGGATACATCACAAAGAAGTTTCTCAGAATACTTCTGTCTAGTTTTTATGTGAAGATATTTCTTTTTTGATATAGGCCTCCAACTTCTCAGAAATATCCCATTCCAGATTGTACAAAAAGACTGTATCCAAACTTCTCAATGAAAAGAAACTTTCAACTCTGTGTGATGTATGCATGCATCAAAAAGAAGTTTCTCAGAAAGCTTCTGTTTATATTTCATGCAAAGGTATTTCCTTTTTCACCATAGGCCTCAAAGCGCTCCAAATATCCATTTGCAGATTCTACAAAAAGACTGTTTCCAAACTGCTCAATCAAAAGAAAGTTTCATATCTGTGACATGAAAGCACACATCACTAAGAAGTTTATCAGAAAGCTTCTGTCTACTTTTTATGTGAAAATATGTCCTTTTTCACCATAGGCGTCAATGGGAACAGAAATATCCCTTTGCAGATCCCACAAAAATACTGTTTCCTAACTGCTCAACCAAAAGAATGGTTCAACTCTGTGAGATGAAACCACATATCACAAAGAAGTTTCTCAGAAATCCTCTGTCTAGTTTTTATATGAAGATATTTCCTACTTCATCCATAGGCCTCAATGGGCTCAGAAATATCCTTTCACAGATTCTACAAAACGACAATTTCCAAACTGCTCAATCCAAAGACAGGTTCAACTCTTTGAGATGAATGCACAGAACATAAAGAAGTTTCTCAGAATGCTTCTACCTAGTTTTTATGTGAAGATATTTCCTTTTTCACCACAGGCCTTAAACTGCTTTCACACATCCCTCTGCAGATACTACAAAAAGACTGTTTCCAGACTGCTCCATCAAAAGAAAAATTCAAATCTGTGAGATGAATAGATACATCACAAAAAATTTTCTCAGAATACTTCTGTCTACATTTTATCTGAAGATATTTCTTTTTCACCATAGGCCTCCAACTTCGCAGAAATTTCCTTTGCAGACTGTACAAAAAGACTGTTTCCAAACTGCTCAATGAAAAGAAAGTTTCACCTCTGTGAGATGTATGAACTCATAAAAAAGAAGTTTCTCAGAAAGCTTCTGTTTAGATTTCATGTGAAGATATGTCCTTTCTCACCATAGGCGTCAAAGCGCTCAAAATATCCTTTGCAGATTCTACAAAAACACTGTTTCCAAACTGCTCAATCGAAAGAAAGTTCAAACCTGTGAGATGAAAGCACACATCACTAAAAAGTTTCTCAGAATGCTTCTGTCTAGTTTTTAAGTGAAGATATTTCTTCTTTCACCATAGGTCTCAATGGGCCCAGAAATATCCCTTTGCAGATCCTACAAAAGGACTGTTTACAAACTGCTCAATCAAAACAAAGTTTCAACTCTGTCAGTTGAATGCACACATCACAAAGAAGTGTCTCAGAATCTTCTGACTAGGTTTTATATGAAGATATTTCCTTTCTCACCAAAGTCCTCAAAATGCTCACAAATATCTCTCTGCAGATACTATAAAAGACTGTTTCCAAACTGCTCAATCAAAAGAAAGGTTCAACTCTGTGAGATGAACGCACACATCACAAAAATGTTTCCAGAATGCTTCTGTCTGGTTGTTATGTGAAGATATTTCCTTTTTCACCACAGGCCTCAAAGCACTCCAAATATCCATTTGCAGATCCTACAAAAAGAGAGTTTCCAAATTGCTCAATCAAAAGGTAGTTTCATCTCTGTGAGATGAAAACACACATCCCAAAGAAGTTTCTCAGAAAGCTTCTGTTTATTTTTTATGTGAAGATATTTCCTAATTCACCATAGGCCTAAATCGGCTAAGAAGTATCCTTTTGCAGATTGTAGAAAAATACTGTTTCCAAACTGCTGAATCAAAAGAAAAGTTGAACTGTGTGAGATGAATGCACACATCACAAAGAAGATTCTCAGAATGCTTCTGTCTAGTTTTTATGTGAAGATATTTGCCTTTCCACCATAGGCTGCAATGGTCACCAAATATCCACTTGCAGATATTAAAAAAATAGTGTTTCAAAACTGCCCGATCTAAAGAAAGGTTCAACTCTGTACGTTGAATGCACACATCACAAAGAAGTTTCTCAGAATGTTTCTGTCTACCTTTTATCCAAAGTTATTTCCTTTTCCACTATACTCGGCAAAGCCCTCCGAATATCCACTTGCAGATTCTACAAAAGAAGTGTTTCAAAATTGCACAATCAAAAGAAAGATTCAACTCTGGGAGTTGTATGCACACATCAGAAAGAAGTTTCTCAGAATGCTTTTGTGTAGTTTTTATGTGAAGATATTTCCTTTTCCACCATAGGCCCTAAAGCTCTCCAAATATCCACTTGCAGATTATACAAAAAGAGGGATTCAAAACTGCTCAATCAAAAGAAAGGTTCAACTCCGTGAGCTGAAGGCTCACATAACAATGCTGTTTCTCAGAATGCTTCTCCATAGTTTTTATATGAAGATATTTCCTTTTCCACCATTCTCTCCAAAGCGCTCCAAATATCCACTTGCAGATTCTATAAAAAGAGTGTTTCAAAACTGCTCAATGAAAAGAAAGTTTCAACTCTGTGAAATGAATGGACACATCACAAAGACGTTTCTCAGAATGCTTCTGTCTAGTGTTTATGTGAAGATATTTCCTTTTCCACCACACTTCTCAAAGCGATCTAAATATGCACTTGCAGATGCTACGAAGAGTGTTTCAAAACTGCTGAATCAAAAGAATGTTTCAAATCTGTGAGATGAATGAACACATCACAGAGAAGTTTCTCAAAATGCTTCTGTCTAGTTTTTATGAGAAGATAATACTTTTCCACCATTGGCCCCAAAGGGCTCCAAATAACAACTGCAGATCCTTCAAAAAGTGTATAAAAAATGCTAAATCAATAGAAAGTTTCAACTCTGTGAGATGTATGCACACATCACAAAGAAGTTTCTCAGAATGCTTCTCTCTAGTTTTTATGTGAGGATATTTCCTTCTCCACCATAGGACTCAATGCACTCCAAATAAACACTGGCAGATTCTAGAAAAAGAGCGTTTCAAAACTGCTCAATCAAAAGAAATTTTCAAATTTGTGAGATGAATGTGCACATCACAAAGAAGTTTCTTAGAGTAATTCTGTCTAGTTTTTATGTGAAGATTTTTCATTTTCCACCATACTCCTCAAAGCGTTCCAAATATCCACTTTCACATTCTACAAGGAGATTGTTTCAAAACTGCTCAATAAAAAGAATGGTTCAACTATGTGAGATGAATGCAAGCATCACAAAGAGGTATTTCAGAATGCTTCTGTGTAGTTTTTATGTGAAGATGTTTCCTTTACCACCATAGGACCCAAAGCCCTCCAAATATCCACTTACAGATTCTCCAAAAAGTATTTCAAAAGTGCTCAATCAAAAGAAAGGTTGAACTCTTTGAGATGAATGCACACATCACAAAGATGTTTTTCAGAATGCTTGTCTGTCTAGTTTTTATGTGAATATACATCCTTTTCCACTATAGGCCACAAAGTGCTCCAAACACCCACTTGTAGATTCTACAAAAAGAGTGTTTCAAAAGTCCTCAATAAAAAAAGTTATAACTCTGTGAAGTGAATGTACACATCACAAAGAAGATTCTCAGAATGCTTCTGTCTAGTTTTTATGTGAAGATATTTGCTTTTCCACCATTGGATGCAAATTGCACCCAATATACACTTGTAGATTTTACAAAAATAGTGTTTCAAAACTGCTCAATCAAAAGAAAGGTTCAATTCTGTGAGTTGAATGCACGCATAAGAAAGAAGTTTCTCAGAATGCTTCGCTGTAGTTTTTATGTGAAGATATTTCCTTTCCCACCATAAGCCTCAAAGTGCTCCAAATATCCACTTGCACACTCTACAAAAAGAGTGGTTGAAAACTGCTCAATCAAAAGAAAGGTTGAACTCTGTGAGATGAATGCACACATCACAAAGAAGTTTCTCAGAATGCTTCTCCGTAGTTTTTATGTGAAGATATATCCTTTTCCGCAGTAGGCCACAAAGCACTCCAAATATCCACTTGCAGATCCTAAAAAAAGTGTGTTTCAAAACTGCTCAATCAAAAGAAAGGTTCAACTCTGTGTGTTGAATGCACACATCACAAACCAATTTCTCAGAATGCTTCTGTGTAGTTTTCATGTGAAGATATTTCCTTTTCCACCATAGGCCTCAAAGCGCTCCAAGTATCTAATTGGAGATTCCACAAGAGTGTTTCAATACTACTCAATCAAAAGAAAGCTTCAACTCTGTGAGATGAATCCACACATCACAAAGAAGTTTCTCAAAATGCTGCTGTCTAGTTTTTATGGGAAGATATGTCCTTTTCCACCATGGGCCTCAAAGTGCTCCAAATATCCACTTGCAGATTCTACAAAAATACAGTTTCCAAACTGCTCAATAAAAAGAAAGGTTCAACTCTGTGAGATGAATGCACACATCACAAAATGTTTCTCAGAATACTTCTGTGTACTATTTATGTGAAGATATTTCCTTTTCCACTGTAGGCCTCAAAGCGCTCCAAAAATCCACTGTCAGATTTTACAAAAAGAGTGTTTCAAAACTGCTGAATCAAAAGAAAGGTTGAACTCTGTGGGTTGAATGCACACATCACAAAGTAGTTTCTCAGAATGCTTCTGTCTAATTTTTATGTGAAAATATTTCGTTTTCCACCATAGGCCTCAATGTGCTCCAAATATCCACTTGCAGATTCTACAAAAAGAGTGTTTCCAATCTTCTCAACCAAAAGAACGGTTCAACTCTGTGAGATGAAACCACATATCACAAAGAAGTTTCTCAGAAATTTCTGTCTAGTTTTTAATGTGAGAATATTTCCTATTTCATCCATAGGCATCAATGGGCTGAGAAATATCCCTTCACAGATTCTACAAAAGGACTGTTTCCAAACTGCTGAATTGAAAGAAATGTTCAACTCTTTGTGATGAACGTGCACATCACAAAGAAGTTTCTCAGAATGATTCTGTCTAGTTTTTATGTGAAGATATTTCGTTTTCCACTATAGGCCACAAAGGACTCCAAATATCCACTTGCAGATTCCCCATAAAGAGTGTTTCCAAACTGCTCAACCAAAGGAAAGTTACAACTCTGTGAGATGAAAGAACACATCATAAAGAAGTTTCTCAGAAAGCTTCTGTCTAGTTTTTATGTGAAGATATTTTCTGTTTCACCATAGTCCAGAAGGTGCTCAAAAATAGTGCTTTGCAGATTCTACACAAAGACTGTTTCCAAACTTCTGAACCAAAAGAAAGGTTCAGCTCTGTGAGATGAAAGCACATATCTCAAAGAAGTTTCTCAGAAACCTTCTGTCTGGTTTTTATGAGAAGATATTTCCTATTTCACCATAGGTCTCAATGGGCTGAGAAACAACCCTTTTGCAGATTCTACAAAAGGACTGTTTCCAAACTGCTCAATCCAAAGAAAGTTTCACCTCTTTGAGTTGAATGCATACATCACAAAGAAGTTTCTCAGAATGCTTCTGCCTAGTTTTTATGTGAAGATATTTCCTTTTTCACCACAGGCCTTAAACTGCTCTCAGATATCCCTCCGCAGATACTACAAAAAGACTGTCTCCAAACTGCTCCATCAAAAGTAAGGTTCAACTCTGTGAGATGAAAGGATACATCTCAAAGAAGTTTCTCAGAATACTTCTGTCTAGTTTTTATGTGAAGATATTTCTTTTTCGATATAGGCCTCCAACTTCTCAGAAATATCCCTTTCCAGATTGTACAAAAAGACTGTTTCCAAACTGCTCAATGAAAAGAAACTTTCAACTCTGTGAGATGTATGCATGCATCAAAAAGAAGCTTCTCAGAAAGCTTCTGTTTATATTTCATGTGAAGGTATTTCCTTTTTCACCATAAGCCTCAAAGCACTCCAAATATCCATTTGCAGATTCTACAAAAAGACTGTTTCCAAACTGATCAATCAAAAGAAAGTTTCAAATCTGTGACATGAAAGCACACATCACTAAGAAGTTTATCAGAAAGCTTCTGTCTAGTTTTTATGTGAAGATATGTCCTTTTTCACCATAGGCGTCAATGGGAACAGAAATATCCCTTTGCAGATCCCACAAAAATACTGTTTCCTAACTGCTCAACCAAAAGAATGGTTCAACTCTGTGAGATGAAACCACATATCACAAAGAAGTTTCTCAGAAATCCTCTGTCTTGTTTTTATGTGAAGATATTTCCTATTTCATCCATAGGCCTCAATGGGCTCAGAAATATCCCTTCACAGATTCTACAAAACGACAGTTTCCAAACTGCTCAGTCCAAAGACAGGTTCAAGTCTTTGAGATGAATGCAAACAATACAAAGAAGTTTCTTAGAATGCTTCTACCTTGTTTTTATGTGAAGATATTTCCTTTTTCACCACAGGCCTTAAACTTCTCTCACATATCCCTCTTCAGATACTACAAAAAGACTGTTTCCACACTGCTCCATCAAAAGAAAAATTCAACTCCGTGAGATGAATAGATACATCACAAAAAATTTTCTCAGAATACTTCTGTCTACATTTTATCTGAAGATATTTCTTTTTCACCATAGGCCTCTAACTTCGCAGAAATATTCCTTTGCAGATTTTACAAAAAGACTGTTTCCAAACTGCTCAATGAAAAGAAAGTTTCACCTCTGTGAGATGTATGCAGTCATCAAAAGGAAGTTTCTCAGAAAGCTTCTGTTTAGATTTCATGTGAAGATATGTCCTTTTTCACCATAGGCCTCAAAGTGCTTGAAGTATCCTTTGCAGATTCTACAAAAAGACTGTTTCCAAACTGCTCAATCAAAAGAAAGGTTCAAACCTGTGAGATGAAAGCACACATCACTAAGAAGTTTCTCAGAATGCTTCTGTCTAGTTTTTAAGTGAAGATATTTCTTCTTTCACCATAGGTCTCAATGGGCCCAGAACTATCCCTTTGCAGATCCTACAAAAGGACTGTTTACAAACTGCTCAATCAAAACAAAGTTTCACCTCTATCAGTTGAATGCACACATCACAAAGAAGTTTCTCAGAATCTTCTGACTAGGTTTTATATGAAGATATTTCCTTTCTCACCAAGTCCTCAAAATGCTGACAAATATCTCACTGCAGATACTATCAAAGACTGTTTCCAAACTGCTCAATCAAAAGAAATGTTCAACTCTGCGAGATGAATGCACGCATCACAAAGATGTTTCCAGAATGCTTCTGTCTGGTTGTTATGTGAAGATATTTCCTTTTTCACCACAGGCCTCAAAGCGCTCCAAATATCCATTTGCAGATCCTACAAAAAGAAAGTTTCGAAATTGCTCAATCAAAAGAAAGTTTCATCTCTCTGAGATGAAAACACACATCCCAAAGAAGTTTCTCAGAAAGCTTCTGTCTAGTTTTTATGTGAAGATATTTCCTAATTCACCATAGACCGAAATCGGCTAAGAAGTATCCCTTTGCAGATTGTACAAAAATACTGTTTCCAAACTGCTGAATCAGAAGAAAAGTTGAACTGTGTGAGATGAATGCACACATCACAAAGAAGTTTCTCAGAATGCTTCTGTCTAGTTTTTATGTGAAGATATTTGCTTTTCCATCATAGGCCGCAATCGTCACCAAATATCCACTTGCAGATTTTACAAAAATAGTGTTTCAAAACTGCCCAATCTAAAGAAAGGTTCAACTCTGTACGTTGAATGCACACATCACAAAGAAGTTTCTCAGAATGCTTCTGTCTACCTTTTATCCAAAGTTATTTCCTTTTCCACTATACTCGGCAAAGCCCTCCTAATATCCACTTGCAGATTCTACAAAAGAAGTGTTTCAAAATTGCACAATCAAAAGAAAGATTCAACTCTGGGAGTTGTATGCACACATCAGAAAGAAGTTTCTCAGAATGTTTTTGTGTAGTTTTTATGTGAAGATATTTCCTTTTCCACCATAGGCCCTAAAACTCTCCAAATATCCACTTGCAGATTCTACAAAAAAAGGGAATCAAAACTGCTCAATCAAAAGAAAGGTTGAACTCTGTGAGCTGAAGGCACACATAACAATGCCGTTTCTCAGAATGCTTCTCCATAGTTTTTATATGAAGATATTTCCATTTCCACCATTCTCTCCAAAGTGCTCCAAATATCCACTTGCAGATTCTATAAAAAGAGTGTTTCAAAACTGCTCAATGAAAAGAAAGTTTCACCTCTGTTAGATGAATGGACACATCACAAAGACGTTTCTCAGAATGCTTCTGTCTAGTGTTTATGTGAAGATATTTCCTTTTCCACCACACGTCTCAAAGCGATCTAAATATGCACTTGCAGATTCTAGGAAGAGTGCTTCAAAACTGCTGAATCAAAAGAATGGTTCAAATCTGTGAGATGAACGAACACATCACAAAGAATTTGCTCAAAATGCTTCTGTCTAGTTTTTATGAGAAGATAATACTTTTCCACCATTGGCCCCAAAGGGCTCCAAATAGCAACTGCAGATCCTACAAAAAGTGTATAAAAAATGCTAAATCAATAGAAAGTTTCAACTCCGTGAGATGTATGCACACATCACAAAGAAGTTTCTCAGAATGCTTCTCTCTAGTTTTTATGTGATGATATTTCCTTCTCCACCATAGGCCTCAAAGCACTCCAAATATCCACTGGCAGATTCTAGAAAAAGAGAGTTTCAAAACTGCTCAATCAAAAGAAATTTTCAAATCTGTGAGATGAATGCGCACATCACAAAGAACTTTCTCAGAGTACTTCTGTCTAGTTTTTATGTGAAGATTTTTCATTTTCCACCATACTCATCAAAGCGTTCCAAATATCCACTTGCACATTCTACAGGGAGATTGTTTCAAAACTGCTCAATAAAAAGAATGGTTCAACTATGTGAGATGAATGCAAGCATCACAAAGAGGTATTTCAGAATGCTTCTGTGTAGTTTTTATGTGAAGATGTTTCCTTTACCACCATAAGACCCAAAGCCCTCCAAATATCCACTTACAGATTCTCCAAAAGGTATTTCAAAAGTGCTCAATCAAAAGAAAGGTTGAACTCTTTGAGATGAATGCACACATCACAAAGATGTTTCTCAGAATGCTTCTGTCTAGTTTTTATGTGAAGATATTTCCTTTTCCCCTGTAGGCCACAAAGGCCTCCAAATATCCACTTGCAGATTGCACAAAAAGAGTGTTTGAAAACTTCACAATCAAAAGAAAGTTTCAACTCTGTGAGATGAATGCACACATCACAAGGAAGTTTCACAGAATGCTTCTGTCTAGTTTATGTGAAGATATTTCCTTTTCCAACAGAGGCTGCAAAGCACTCGAAATATCCACTTGCAGATTCTAAAAGAAGAGTGTTTCAAAACTGCTCAATCAAAAGAAAGACTCAACTCTGTGAGTTGAACACACACAACACAAAGAACTTTGTCAGAATGCTTCTCTGTAGTTTTTATGTGAAGATATTTCCTTTTCCACCATAAGCCTCAAAGAGCTCCAAATATCCGCTTGCACACTCTACAAAAAGAGCGTTTCAAAACTGCTCAATCAAAAGAAAGGTTGAACTCTGTGAGATGAATGCACACATCACAAAGAAGTTTCTCAGAATGCTTCTCCGTAGTTTTTATGTGAAAATATATCCTTTTCCTCATTAGGCCACAAAGCACTCCAAATATCCACTTGCAGATCCTAAAAAAAAGTGTGTTTCAAAACTACTCAATCAAAAGAAAGGTTCAACTCTGTGTGTTGAATGCACACATCACAAACCAATTTCTCAGAATGCTTCTGTGTAGTTTTCACGTGAAGATATTTACTTTTCTACCATAGGCCTCAAAACGCTCCAAGTATCCAACTGGAGATTCTACAAAAAGAGTGTTTCAAAACTGCTCAATCAAAAGAAAGCTTCAACTCTGTGAGATGAATGCAAACATGACAAAGAAGTTTCTCAGAATGCTGTTGTCTAGTTTTTATGTGAAGATATTGCCTTTTCCACTTAAGGCCACATAGCGCTCCAAACATCCACTTGCAGATTCTGCAAAATAAGTCTTTCAAAACTGCTCAATCTAAAGAAGGATTGCACTCTTTGAGTTAAACGCACACATCACAAAGAAGTTTCTCAGAATGCTTCTGTGTACTATTTATGTGAAGATATTTCCTTTTCCACCGTAAGCCTCAAAGCACTCCAAAAATCCACTGTCAGATTTTACAAAAAGAGTGTTTCAAAACTGCTGAATCAAAAGAAAGGTTCAACTCTGTGGGTTGAATGCACACATCACAAAGTAGTTTCTCAGAATGCTTCTGTCTAATTTTTATGTGAAAATATTCCGTTTTCCACCATAGGCCTCAATGTGCTCCAAATATCCACTTGCAGATTCTACAAAAAATGTGTTCCCAAACTGCTCAAACAAAAGAACGGTTCAACTCTGTGAGATGAAACCACATATCATAAAGAAGTTTCTCAGAAATTTTCTGTCTAGTTTTTATGTGAGAATATTTCCTATTTCATCCATAGGCATCAATGGGCTGAGAAATATCCCTTCACAGATTCTACAAAAGGACTGTTTCCAAACTGCTCAATCGAAAGAAATGTTCAACTCTTTGTGATGAATGTGCACATCACAAAGAAGTTTCTCAGAATGATTCTGTCTAGTTTTTATGTGAAGATATTTCGTTTTCCACTATAGGCCACAAAGGACTCCAAATATCCACTTGCAGATTCCCCATAAAGAGTGTTTCCAAACTGCTCAATCAAAGGAAAGTTACAACTCTGTGAGATGAAAGAACACATCATAAAGAAGTTTCTCAGAAAGCTTCTGTCTAGTTTTTATGTGAAGATATTTTCTGTTTCACCATAGTCCAGAAGGTGCTCAAAAATAGCCCTTTGAAGATTCTACACAAAGACTGTTTCCAAACTTCTGAACCAAAAGAAAGGTTCAGCTCTGTGAGATGAAAGCACATATCTCAAAGAAGTTTCTCAGAAACCTTCTGTCTGGTTTTTATGGGAAGATATTTCCTATTTCACCATAGGCCTCAATGGGCTGAGAAATATCCCTTTGCAGATTCTACAAAAGGACTGTTTCCAAACTGCTCAATCCAAAGAAAGTTTCACCTCTTTGAGATGAATGCATACATCACAAAGAAGTTTCTCAGAATGCTTCTGCCTAGGTTTTTGTGAAGATATTTCCTTTTTCACCGTAGGCCTTAAACTGCTCTCAGATATCTCTCTGCAGATACTACAAAAAGACTGTCTCCAAACTGCTCCATCAAAAGTAAGGTTCAACTCTGTGAAATGAAAGGATACATCTCAAAGAAGTTTCTCAGAATACTTCTGTCTAGTTTTTATGTGAAGATATTTCGTTTTCGATATAGGCCTCCAACTTCTCAGAAATATCCCATTCCAGATTGTACAAAAAGACTGTTTTCAAACTGCTCAATGAAAAGAAACGTTCAACTCTGTGAGATGTATGCACGCATCAAAAAGAAGTTTCTCAGAAAGCTTCTGTTTATATTTCATGTGAAGGTATTTCCTTTTTCACCATAGGCCTCAAAGCACTCCAAATATCCATTTGCAGATTCTACAAAAAGACTGTTTCCAAACTGCTCAATCAAAAGAAAGTTTCAAATCTGTGACATGAAAGCACACATCACTAAGAAGTTTATCAGAAAGCTTCTGTCTAGTTTTTATGTGAAGATATGTCCTTTTTCACCATAGGCATCAATGGGAACAGAAATATCCCTTTGCAGATCCTACAAAAAGACTGTTTCCTAACTGCTCAACCAAAAGAATGGTTCAACTCTGTGAGATGAAACCACATATCACAAAGAAGTTTCTCAGAAATCCTCTGTCTAGTTTTTATGTGAAGATATTTCATATTTCATCCATAGGCCTCAATGGGCTCAGAAATATCCCTTCACAGATTCTACAAAACGACAGTTTCCAAACTGCTCAGTCCAAAGACAAGTTCAAGTCTTTGAGATGAATGCACGCAATACAAAGAAGTTTCTTAGAATGCTTCTACCTAGTTTTTATGTGAAGATATTTCCTTTCTCACCACAGGCCTTAAACTGCTCTCACACATCCCTCTGCAGATACTACAAAAAGACTGTTTCCAGACTGCTCCATCAAAAGAAAAATTCAACTCTGTGAGATGAATAGATACATCACAAAAAATTTTCTCAGAATACTTCTGTCTACATTTTATCTGAAGATATTTCTTTTTCACGATAGGCCTCCAACTTCGCAGAAATTTTGTTTGCAGACTGTACAAAAAGACTGTTTCCAAACTGCTCAATGAAAAGAAAGTTTCACCTCTGTGAGATGTATGAACTCATAAAAAAGAAGTTTCTCAGAAAGCTTCTGTTTAGATTTCATGTGAAGATATGTCCTTTTTCACCATAGGCGTCAAAGCGCTCAAAATATCCTTTGAAGATTCTACAAAAACACTGTTTCCAAACTGCTCAATCAAAAGAAAGTTCAAACCTGTGAGATGAAAGCACACATCACTAAGAAGTTTCTCAGAATGCTTCTGTCTAGTTTTTAAGTGAAGATATTTCTTCTTTCACCATAGGTCTCAATGGGCCCAGAACTATCCCTTTGCAGATCCTACAAAAGGACTGTTTACAAACTGCTCAATCAAAACAAAGTTTCAACTCTATCAGTTGAATGCACACATCACAAAGAAGTTTCTCAGAATCTTCTGACTAGGTTTTATATGAAGATATTTCCTTTCTCACAAAAGTCCTCAAAATGCTCACAAATATCTCTCTGCAGATACTATAAAAGACTGTTTCCAAACTGCTCAATCAAAAGAAAGGTTCAACTCTGTGAGATGAATGCACACATCACAAAAATGTTTCCAGAATGCTTCTGTCTGGTTGTTATGTGAAGATATTTCCTTTTTCACCACAGGCCTCAAAGCGCTCCAAATATCCATTTGCAGATCCTACAAAAAGAGAGTTTCGAAACTGCTCAATCAAAAGAAAGTTTCATCTCTGTGAGATGAAAACACACATCCCAAAGAAGTTTCTCAGAAAGCTTCCATTTATTTTTTATGTGAAGATATTTCCTAATTCACAATAGGCCTAAATTGGCTAAGAAGTATCCCTTTGCAGATTGTACAAAAATACTGTTTCCAAACTGCTGAATCAAAAGAAAAGTTGAACTCTGTGAAATGAATGCACACATCGCAAAGAAGTTTCTCAGAAAGCTTCTGTCTAGTTTTTATGTGAAGATATTTGCCTTTCCACCATAGGCTGCAATGGTCATCAAATATCCACTTGCAGATATTACAAAAATAGTGTTTCAAAACTGCCCGATCTAAAGAAAGGTTCAACTCTGTACGTTGAATGCACACATCACATAGAAGTTTCTCAGAATGTTTCTGTCTACCTTTTATCCAAAGTTATTTCCTTTTCCACTATACTCGGCAAAGCCCTCCGAATATCCACTTGCAGATTCTACAAAAGAAGTGTTTCAAAATTGCACAATCAAAAGAAAGGTTCAACTCTGGGAGTTGTATGCGCACATCAGAAAGAAGTTTCTCAGAATGCTTTTGTGTAGTTTTTATGTGAAGATATTTCCTTTTCCACCATAGGCCCCAAAGCTCTCCAAATATCCACTTGCAGATTCTACAAAAAGCGGGATTCAAAACTGTTCAATCAAAAGAAAGTTTCAACTCTGTGAGTTGAAGGCACACATAACAAAGCCGTTTCTCAGAATGCTTCTCCGTAGTTTTTATATGAAGATATTTCCGTTTCCACCATTCTCTCCAAAGCACTCCAAATATCTACTTGCAGATTCTATAAAAAGAGTGTTTCAAAACTGCTCAATGAAAAGAAAGTTTCAACTCTGTGAGATGAATGGACACATCATAAAGACGTTTCTCAGAATGCTTCTGTCTAGTGTTTATGTGAAGATATTTCCTTTTCCACCACACTTCTCAAAGCGATCTAAATATGCACTTGCAGATTCTACGAAGAGTGTTTCAAAACTGCTGAATCAAAAGAATGGTTCAAATCTGTGAGATGAATGAACACATCACAGAGAAGTTTCTCAAAATGCTTCTGTCTAGTTTTTATGAGAAGATAATTCTTTTCCACCATAGGCCCCAAAGGGCTCCAAATATCCACTGCAGATCCTACAAAAAGTGTTTAAAAAATGCTAAATCAATAGAAAGTTTAAACTCTGTGAGATGTATGCACACATCACAAAGAAGTTTCTCAGAATCCTTCTCTCTAATTTTTATGTGAGGATATTTCCTTCTCCACCATAGGCCTCAAAGCACTCCAAATATCCCCTGGCAGATCCTAAAAAAAGAGCGATTCAAAACTGCTCAATCAAAAGAAATTTTCAAATCTGAGATGAATGCGCACATCACAAAGAAGTTTCTCAGAGTACTTCTGTCTAGTTTTTATGTGAAGATTTTTCATTTTCCACCATACTCATCAAAGCATTCCAAATATCCACTTGCACATTCTACAAGGAGATTGTTTCAAAACTGCTCAATAAAAAGAATGGTTCAACTATGTGAGATGAATGCAAGCATCACAAAGAGGTATTTCAGAATGCTTCTGTGTAGTTTTTATGTGAAGATGTTTCCTTTACCACCATAGGACCCAAAGCCCTCCAAATATCCACTTACAGATTCTCCAAAAAGTATTTCAAAAGTGCTCAATCAAAAGAAAGGTTGAACTCTTTGAGATGAATGCACACATCACAAAGATGTTTTTCAGAATGCTTCTCTGTAGTTTTTATGTGAAGATATTTCCTTTTCCCCTATAGGCCACAAAGACCTCCAAATATCCACTTGCAGATTATACAAAAAGAGTGTTTGAAAACTTCACAATCAAAAGAAAGTTTCCTCTCTGTGAGATGAATGCACACATCACAAGGAAGTTTCTCAGAATGCTTCTGTCTAGTTTATGTGAAGATATTTCCTTTTCCAACAGAGGCTGCAAAGCACTCGAAATATCCACTTGCAGATTCTAAAAAAAGAGTGTTTCAAAACTGCTCAATCAAAAGAAAGACTCAACTCTGTGAGTTGAACACACACAACACAAAGAACTTTGTCAGAATGCTTCTCTGTAGTTTTTATGTGAAGATATTTCCTTTTCCACCATAAGCCTCAAAGAGCTCCAAATATCTGCTTGCACACTCTACAAAAAGAGCGTTTCAAAACTGCTCAATCAAAAGAAAGGTTGAACTCTGTGAGATGAATGCACACATCACAAAGAAGTTTCTCAGAATGCTTCTCCATAGTTTTTATGTGAAAATATATCCTTTTCCGCATTAGGCCACAAAGCACTCCAAATATCCACTTGCAGATCCAAAAAAAAGTGTGTTTCAAAACTGCTAAATCAAAAGAAAGGTTCAACTCTGTGTGTTGAATGCACACATCACAAACCAATTTCTCAGAATGCTTCTGTGTAGTTTTCACGTGAAAATATTTACTTTTCTACCATAAGCCTCAAAACGCTCCAAGTATCCAATTGGAGATTCTACAAAAAGAGTGTTTCAAAACTGCTCAATCAAAAGAAAGCTTCAACTCTGTGAGATGAATGCACACATGACAAAGAAGTTTCTCAGAATGCTGTTGTCTAGTTTTTATGTGAAGATATTGCCTTTTCCACTTAAGGCCACATAGCGCTCCAAATATCCACTTACAGATTCTACAAAAGGAGTCTTTCAAAACTGCTCAATCAAAAGAAGGATTGCACTCTTTGAGTTAAATGCACACATCACAAAGAAGTTTCTCAGAATGCTTCTATGTACTATTTATGTGAAGATATTTCCTTTTCCACCGTAGGCCTCAAAGCGTTCCAAAAATCCACTGGCAGATTTTACAAAAAGAGTGTTTCAAAACTGTTGAATCTAAAGAAAGGTTGAACTCTGTGGGTTGAATGCACACATCACAAAGAAGTTTCTCAGAATGATTCTGTCTAATTTTTATGTGAAAATATTCCGTTTTCCACCATAGGCCTCAATGTGCTCCAAATATCCACTTGCAGATTCTACAAAAAATGTGTTTCCAAACTGCTCAAACAAAAGAACGGTTCAACTCTGTGAGATGAAACCACATATCATAAAGAAGTTTCTCAGAAATTTTCTGTCTAGTTTTTTTGTGAGAATATTTCCTATTTCATCCATAGGCATCAATGGTCTGAGAAATATCCCTTCACAGATTCTACATAAGGACTGTTTCCAAACTGCTGAATCGAAAGAAATGTTCAACTCTTTGTGATGAATGTGCACATCACAAAGAAGTTTCTCAGAATGATTCTATCTAGTTTTTATGTGAAGATATTTCATTTTCCACTATAGGCCACAAAGCACTCCAAATATCCACTTGCAGATTCCCCATAAAGAGTGTTTCCAAACTGCTCAATCAAAGGAAATTTACAACTCTGTGAGATGAAAGAACACATCATAAAGAAGTTTCTCAGAAAGCTTCTGTCTAGTTTTTATGTGAAGATATTTTCTGTTTCACCACAGTCCAGAAGGTGCTCAAAAATAGCGCTTTGCAGATTCTACACAAAGACTGTTTCCAAACTTCTGAGCCAAAAGAAAGGTTCAGCTCTGTGAGATGAAAGCACATATCTCAAAGAAGTTTCTCAGAAACCTTCTGTCTGGTTTTTATGAGAAGTTATTTCCTATTTCACCATAGGCCTCAATGGACTGAGAAATATCCCTTTGCAGATTCTGCAAAAGGACTATTTCCAAACTGCTCAATCCAAAGAAAGTTTCACCTCTTTGAGTTGAATGCATACATCACAAAGAAGTTTCTCAGAATGCTTCTGCCTAGTTTTTATGTGAAGATATTTCCTTTTTCACCATAGGCCTTAAACTGCTCTCAGATATCCCTCCGCAGATACTACAAAAAGACTGTCTCCAAACTGCTCCATCAAAAGTAAGGTTCAATTCTGTGAGATGAAAGGATACATCTCAAAGAAGTTTCTCAGAATACTATTTCTTTTTCGATATAGGCCTCCAACTTCTCAGAAATATCCCATTCCAGATTGTACAAAAAGACTGTTTCCAAACTGCTCAATGAAAAGAAATATTCAACTCTGTGAGATGTATGCACGCATCAAAAAGAAGTTTCTCAGAAAGCTTCTGTTTATATTTCATGTGAAGGTATTTCCTTTTTCACCATAGGCCTCAAAGCACTCCAAATATCCATTTGCAGATTCTACAAAAAGACTGTTTCCAAACTGATCAATCAAAAGAAAGTTTCAAATCTGTGACATGAAAGCACACATCACTAAGAAGTTTATCAGAAAGCTTCTGTCTAGTTTTTATGTGAAGATATGTCCTTTTTCACCATAGGCATCAATGGGAACAGAAATATCTCTTTGCAGATCCTACAAAAAGACTGTTTCCTAACTGCTCAACCAAAAGAATGGTTCAACTCTGTGAGATGAAACCACATATGACAAAGAAGGTTCTCAGAAATCCTCTGTCTAGTTTTTATGTGAAGATATTTCCTATTTCATCCATAGGCCTCAATGGGCTCAGAAATATCCCTTCACAGATTCTACAAAACGACAGTTTCCAAACTGCTCAGTCCAAATACAGGTTCAAGTCTTTGAGATGAATGCACACAATACAAAGAAGTTTCTTAGAATGCTTCTACCTAGTTTTATGTGAAGATATTTCCTTTTCCACCAGAGGCCTTAAACTGTTCTCACATATACCTCTTCAGATACTACAAAAAGACTGTTTCCAGACTGCTCCATCAAAAGAAAATTTCAACTCTGTGAGATGAATGGATACATCACAAAAAATTTTCTCAGAATACATCTGTCTACATTTTATCTGAAGATATTTCTTTTTCACCATAGGCCTCCAACTTCGCAGATATTTCCTTTGCAGACTGTACAAAAAGACTGTTTCCAAACTGCTCAATGAAAAGAAAGTTTCACCTCTGTGAGATGTATGAACTCATAAAAAAGAAGTTTCTCAGAAAGCTTCTGTTTAGATTTCATGTGAAGATATGTCCTTTTTCACCATAGGCGTCAAAGCGCTCAAAATATCCTTTGCAGATTCTACAAAAACACTGTTTCCAAACTGCTCAATCAAAAGAAAGTTCAAACCTGTGAGATGAAAGCACACATCACTAAGAAGTTTCTCAGAATGCTTATGTCTAGTTTTTAAGTGAAGATATTTCTTCTTTCACCATAGGTCTCAATGGGCTCAGAAATATCCCTTTGCAGATCCTACAAAAGGACTGTTTCCAAACTGCTCAATCAAAACAAAGTTTCAACTCTGTCAGATGAATGCACACATCACAAAGAAGTTTCTCAGAATGCTTCTGACTAGGTTTTATATGAAGATATTTCTTTTCTCACCAAAGTCCTCAAAATGCTCACAAATATCTCTCTGCAGATACTATCAAAGACTGTTTCCAAACTACTCAATCAAAAGAAAGGTTCAACTCTGTGAGATGAATGCACACATCACAAAGATGTTCCCAGAATGCTTCTGTCTAGTTGTTATGTGGAGATATTTCCTTTTTCACCACAGGCCTCAAAGCACTCTAAATATCCATTTGCAGATCCTACAAAAAGAGAGTTTCCAAATTGCTCAATCAAAAGAAAGTTTCATCTCTGTGAGATGAAAACACACATCCCAAAGAAGTTTCTCAGAAAGTTTCTGTTTATTTTTTATGTGAAGATATTTCCTAATTCACCATAGGCCTAAATCGGCTAAGAAGTATCCCTTTGCAGATTGTAGAAAAATACTGTTTCCAAACTGCTGAATCAAAAGAAAAGTTGAACTGTGTGAGAAGAATGCACACATCACAAAGAAGATTCTCAGAATGCCTTGGTCTAGTTTTTATGTGAAGATATTTGCCTTTCCACCATAGGCTGCAATGGTCACCAAATATCCACTTGCAGATATTACAAAAGTAGTGTTTCAAAACTGCCAAATCTAAAGAAAGGTTCAACTCTGTACGTTGAATGCACACATCACAAAGAAGTTTCTCAGAATTCTGCTGTCTAGCTTTTATCCAAAGTTATTTCCTTTTCCACTATACTCCACAAAGCCCTCTGAATATCCACTTGCAGATTCTACAAAAGAAGTGTTTCAAAACTGCACAATCAAAAGAAAGTTTCGACTCTGTGAGTTGTATGCACACATCAGAAAGAAGTTTCTCAGAATGCTTTTGTGTAGTTTTTATGTGAAGATATTTCCTTTTCCACCGTAGGCCCTAAAGCTCTCCAAATATCCACTTGCAGATTCTACAAAAAGAGGGAATCAAAAATGCTCAATCAAAAGAAAGGTTCAACTGTGTGAGCTGAAGTCACACATAACAAAGCCGTTTCTCCGAATGCTTCTCCGTAGTTTTTATATGAAGATATTTCCATTTCCACCATTCTCTCCAAAACGCTCCAAATATCCACTTGCATATTCTATAAAAAGAGTGTTTCAAAACTGCTCAATGAAAAGAAAGTTTCAACTCTGTGAAGTGAATGGACACATCACAAAGACATTTCTCAGAATGCTTCTGTCTAGTGTTTATGTGAAGATATTTCCTTTTCCACCACGTGCCTCAAAGCACTCTAAATATGCACTTGCAGATTCAACGAAAAGAGCGTTTCAAAACTGCTCAATCAAAAGAAAGGTTCAACTACTGTGAGATGAATGCACACATCACCAAGAAGTTTCTCAGAATGCTTCTGTCTAGTTTTTATGAGAAGATAGTACTTTTCCACCATTGGCCCCAAAGGGCTCCAAATAGCAACTGCAGATCCTACAAAAAGTGTATAAAAAATGCTAAATCAATAGAAAGTTTCAACTCCGTGAGATGTATGCACACATCAGAAAGAAGTTTCTCAGAATGCTTCTCTCTAGTTTTTATGTGAGGATATTTCCTTCTCCACCATAGGACTCAAAGCACTCCAAATAACCACTGGCAGATTCTAGAAAAAGAGCGTTTCAAAACTGCTCAATCAAAAGAAATTTTCAAATTTGTGAGATGAATGTGCACATCACAAAGAAGTTTCTCAGAGTAATTCTGTCTAGTTTTTATGTGAAGATTTTTCATTTTCCACCATACTCATCAAAGCATTCCAAATATCCACTTGCACATTCTACAAGGAGATTGTTTCAAAACTGCTCAATAAAAAGAATGGTTCAACTATGTGAGATGAATGCAAGCATCACAAAGAGGTATTTCAGAATGGTTCTGTGTAGTTTTTGTGTGAAGATATTTCCTTTACCACCATAAGCCTCAAAGAACTCCAAATATCCACTTACAGATTCTACAAAAAGAGTGCTTCAAAACTGCTCAACCAAAAGAAAGGTTCAACTCTTTGTGATGAATGCACACATCACAAAGTAATTTCTCAGAATGCT
>NC_000021.9:10269868-10274327 GCF_000001405.40 Homo sapiens | reverse complement strand
GAACATACCTTGAATGCAGCAACACAGGTTCCCCATAAGAAAAATGACAATTAGGAAAATGAAACCACAAAGGTTCAATCTGCTCTGACCTTCGAAAAACTCAGCACAGACAGTGGCACTTAGGACCAAGGGCAGGAGATCCCTAATCCCATCACCATGGCGATAGGGCATAAACATTCCAGGGTGAAGGCACAATCCACATTGTGAGGTCCAACTGCTGCCTGGGAGACAGGAGTCGTTTTACATGTACATTAAGTTCATTGAAGGCTCAGTGTTTTGTTTCAAAAACTGAATCCCAACCCCACACATTATTATGCTGTGCTTCTTAAACTAAGTTATGAGATGGGAAATAGGGCACACACAAATATATATATATGTTATATATATTACAGATATTAATTATATATTTAATATATATAACATATATATAATTCCCTTTTATATGATGCATCTTATATATATTATATATAATATAATAATATATAATAATATACAATTATTAAATATACAAAATGACATACAATATACATTATATTTTGACATATATGTAATATATATTATATATATTATGTGTAATATATATATTAAATATATATTATGTGTAATATATATATTAAATATATATTATGTGTAATATATATTAAATATATATTATATATTATGTATAATATATATTATATATAATATATAAGATATTTTATAATATATATAATATAATGTATACCATATATTACACATAATATATAGCATACATATTATAAATGTATTATATACATGATATATGATATATATGGTATGTAAGATAAGATATATAATATATAATATACGATATATAGATTTATAATATATTATATATGATATATAACATATAATATATGACATACAATATATATGTTATATATTATATATAACATGATATATATTATGTATGTTTTGTTATATAACTATATAATATATTATATATAATTATATATTATATATAATTACATTATATTTTCTATATATCATAATATACTATGTATTATATATTATTACGTATTATATATTATATATTTTATTTTATACAATATATGTTACATATATATTAAAATACATATTATATATTATATATAATGTATAATGTATATTATATATAATATATAATGTATATTATACATTATATATAATATATAATGTATATTATATATTATATATAATATATAATGTATATTATATATTATATATAATATATAATGTATATTATATATTATATATAATATATAATGTATATTATATATTATGTTATATATTATACATATAATTATTATATAATTACATATATATTATTATATATTATATAGAATAATTTATATAATTTGTTATATACAGTATAATTATTATATGTATAATTATCTTATATATATGATATATATAAAATATATGCATATTATATATAATTTGATATATATTATAAAATATATACATATTATATATCATATATGATATATATTATAAATTATATACATATTATATATCGCAAAAGATATATATTATATATGTTATATATCATATTATATATATCTTATATTAAATATAATTATATTATATAATTTCATATATAATATATAATAATGTATATTATATATACATTAATATATATAATAAATATAAAATATATATGACATATGGTATGTATTATATATACTGACATAATATATATATGTACTGACATATAATGTATATTATATATATTATATATACTATGACATATAATATATATTATATATAATATATTACATATGTATTATATAATGTATAATATATATGATATATATTATATATATATAATTTTTTTTTAGACAGAGTCTTGTTCTGTTTCACAGGCTGGAGTGCAATGGCGCCATCTTGGCTCACTGCAACCTCTGCCTCACAGGTTCATGCGATTGTCCTGCCTCAGCCTCCCAGGTAGCTGGGACGACACCACACTGGGAGTACACCAGCTGCCCCCATGCCTGGCTAATTTTTTGTATTTTTAGTAGAGACAGGGTCTCACTATTTTGGCCACGATGGTCTTGATCTCCTCACCTTGTTAACCTCTTGCCTTGGCCTCCCAACGTGCTGGGATTACAGGCCTGAGCCAAGATACATATTTTTTAAATGAAGAAAAATTTCTAAGGTACTCTGCTTGGTACAATAATCAAATATATAAATTGATTAATAAAACGTAACCATGAAACATGTTTATAACTGCATATGGAAAATACAGTGGATAATTTTTTAAATAGGATATTTTGAAAGCATTAACTAGTAATTTGAAGAGTTCGCATTTGACAGGCCAGTATGAACATACCTTGAATGCAGCAACACAGGTTCCCCATAAGAAAAATCAAAATCAGGGAAAATGAAACCACAAATGTTCAATCTGCTGTGACCTTCGAAAAATTCAGCACAGACAGTGGCACTTAGGACCAAGGGCAGGAGATCCCTAATCCCATCACCATGGCGATAGGGTATAAACATTCCATGGTGAAGGCACAATCCACATTGTGAGGTCCAACTGCTGCCATGCAGACAGTTGTGCTTTTACATGTACAGGAAGGTCATTGAAGGCTCATTGTTCTGTTTCAAAAACTGAATCCCAAGCCCACATATTATTATGCTGTGCTTCTTAAAATAAGTTATGAGATTCGAAACAGGACATCCCCACATATTTATATATATATTTAAGTATAGATAATATAATATAAAATATATATAATATATATTATAGATATTTCCTTTTACATCCTGCATCCTGATATTATATATATTATATATAATATAATATAAAATATATAATTATATATTGTATAATATATATAATTATATATATTTATATAATTATATATAATTATATAATATAATATATAATATATACTATATACATTATATATTATATAATATATACTATATACATTATATATTATATAATATATAATACATATAGTTTATATTATATATAATATATACTATATATAATATATAGTATATAATATATACTATATATTATATATAATATATAGTTTATATTATATATAATATATAGTGTATAATATACATGATATATAATATATCATAATATAAGTATATTATATTACATATTATATTAAACATATAATATATAATATATATTATATAGAATAATAATATAATATAATATATATTATATAATATATAATATTATATTAAATAATAATTATAATATATAATATATTATGATATATAATACAATATATAGTTACATATCTTATAATATATAATATGTAATATATATCATATTTTATATATGTCATATATATTACATGTCATATATATCACATAATATATAATATATATCATATATGTAATTTATATCATATATAATATATATCATATTACATATGAAATATATTATATATAGTATATTATATATCATATATATAATATAATGACATATATGTAATATGTATTATATAATATTATCATATATATTATATATTATATATAATATATAATATATATAACATTTTATATACAATAAATTATATATTTCATATAATATATATTCTATGTCATATATATTATATATAATATATGTAAATGACATAGAATATATATTATATATATCATATATTAGGACGTATTATATATGATATATATTATATATTACGTATGTCATTTATTATATATATATAATTTTTTTTTAGACAGAGTTTTGTTCTGTTTCACAGGCTGGAGTGCAATGGCGCCATGTTGGCTCACTGCAAACTTTACCTCACGGGTTCAAGTGATTGTCCTGCCTCAGCCTCCCAGGTAGCTGGGACTACACCACACTGGGACTGCACCAGCTGCCACCACGCCTGGATAATTTTTTGTAGTTTTAGTAGAGACAGGGCTTCACTGTATTGGCCAGGATGGTCTTGATCTCCTCACCTTGTGATCCTCTTGCTTTGGCCTCCGAAATTGCTGGGATTACAGGCCTGAGCCAAGATCCGTATTTTTTAAATGAACAAAAATTTCAAAGGTACTCTGCTTGGTACAATAATCAAATATGTAAATTGAGGAATAAAACATAACCATGAAACATATTTATAACTGCATATGGAAAATACAGAGGATAATTTTTTAAATAACAAATTTTGAAAGCATTAATAATTTGAAAAGATCGCATTTGACAGGCCAGTATGAACATACCTCGATTGGAGGAACACAGGTTCCCCTTAAGAAAAATCAAAATCAGGGAAAATGAACCCAGAAAAGTTCAATCTGCTCTGACCTTTGAAAAACTCAGCCCAGACAGTGGCACTTATGACCAAGGGCAGGAGATTTCTAATCCCATCACCATGGCGATAGGGCATAAACATTCCTGGGTGAAGGCACAATCCACATTGTGAGGTCCTACTGCTGCCATGCAGACAGGTGTGCTTTTACATGGACCGGAAGTTCATTGAAGGCTCAGTGT